>NC_000010.11:78476428-78627943 GCF_000001405.40 Homo sapiens | reverse complement strand
TTTTCTTCCATCATCTCATACCTGTTAAAATTTTTCTCTGTGTCTAACATGACATATAGAACCTTATTTATGGTGCGCTGTTGAAGAGGTTGTTTGAAGGTCACCAACATTCAAGAAGAAGTATCCCATTTTCTTCTACCACTTATAGTCCAATGTCTTCATTTTACAGACAGGGAAGCTGAGGCTCAAAGAGAGGATATGCTCTTGCTAAGGTCTACCTGAATTCACATAGTGAGTCAGTGATAGGGCTGAGGCTAGAGCCCCCAGCCCTGCAACTTCAATCCCCAGCCAATTCTGTCTTTTCGGGCCTCTCTTTGACAGATGGTTTTCCTCCGCATGGATGCCTCAAGTTCCTGAGAGCTCGACCCCATGGAAGGCAGTTTATGCAGTGCTGGGCAAAACCCCAGCTTCTTCCACCAAGCAAAAATTTGCTTTATTGCAGCCTCCATCCACTGATCCACCTTTGCCTCTTATTCATTTGTGTTATCTCACATTCATTCATTCATTCATTCATTCATTCACTTGTGCCAGGAGAATTAAATAAGAATGTCTTGCCCCCCAGAGTTGAGACAGTTGCACAAAGCATTAAATGCCTGAGTGAAATACTGAGCTCCAGGAGGGGAGGGGCCATGTCTGTGTTCTCTCCCTGTATCTCTAGGGTTAGGCCAGAGTGAGTAGCACTGCAAAAGTGCCAATCAGTACTTATAGAATAAAAAGACATAATGAATGATAGTGATATGAAACAGGAAAAGGATTGTAACAAAGAGAGACCAGCTAGTTGTGCTTATGTTTGGGTTGGGGAAAGGAACAGTCAAAGTGGGCTTTCCCAAGGAGGTGGCCTTTGAATTAGGTGGGAGAGGGGCTGGGGCTTCTGTAGACAGGGAAGTAGGCAGGGCCCAGCAGGAGCAGAGACAACACTCAAAGAACAGGGGATTCCTGGGCACTGATAAAACCTTCTGTTTGACGCGATCATAGGGCAGGAATGGGAGAAAGGAAAAAATGAGGCAACTAGAGATGACTGGGCCATGAGGGGGCCTTGAACCCTAAGCTAAGGTATCTGGAATTGACCTAAGGTGCAGGGGAGGCAGCACTGGGTTTCTACAAGGTGAGTGACAAGATCTGAGCAATGCTTTAGAAAGATCACCATGGTGACTATGTGTGGAATGCATCCGCCAGGCTCACGGTTCATGTGGGGACCCATCAGGAAGCTGGTGCAATTGTCCAGGTGAGAGATGATTACAGGGCCGCCAAAAGACCAATCATTTTCCAGTCGAGTGGTAATTGGGCATTCGAAACGCAATCCCAGGGTCACCAGTGTCCCCAACCATAACTTCCTCTCTGCTGCAGGCTCACCCTGCGTGAGCAGCTTAAGCAGCTTACAGCTAATCCTGTGCCGGCTCTCAGGCACCTTCCCAAACACCGTGGTGGCCAGCACCAGGTGGGCAGAGCTAGGCTTCTGCACGAGGACTCTAACATCTTTCTCAGACCTTCTCGGGGCCACCATTGGCCTCTGTACAGCCCCGAGCCTGCTGCATCAGGCCCCAGAGCATTCTCAACCCCTTTCCAGCAAGCTGGAGTGCAGGGCTGGCAACATTCTCCCCAAGATGGCCTCCCTGGCTCTCAGGCCCAAATTGATTAATCATCACTTGATTCCAGCTATCAGCTCTGCTGCAATTGGCATATTTATTTCTAATCAGCTCTTAAAAATGGCATCATTCAAAAGTGCTTAACCACATTACTTAATTCTCAGCCTGTATTGCTATTGATTTCAAATATTCTCCTCAAGATATGGCTCATCATTCAATGCAGAAGTCTGTTTATATAATAATCTTATCTGGTTACTAAAATCTGTGAAATCTCTTCAATTGCTTCTAATGCAAGATCGGAGGCTGGTTGCTAAATGAGTCAATTTTACTTTAATTTGGTTTATTTACAGTACATGTTTTAATGTTCCGCATTCCCGTCTTTCGCAGCAATGCTGAGAATAAAGGCAAACAGGTGAGGAGCGAGGCCTGTCCTTTTCTCAGTCTGCAGGAGTCAAGGCCGCTTGACTGAGCTCCCTGGCTCTGCGCGCCAGCAGAGAGCCTGCAGTGGTTCTCAAATGCCAGCAGCAACAGTGCAGTGCTATCAAAAGAGAACTGGAGGGGAGTCACACGGACTTGCTTCAAGTCTGCCATTCACTGAAGATGAGCAGGATGCTCGACATTACAGAGCCTCAGTTTCCCATCTGAGAAATGGGGATAATGTAACTAACATGCTTCCAGGTGTGTTAGGAAGACCACCCGTGACTCCAAGTTTACGTGCACACCATTGCTATTCCACACGTGAGAGTTCCCAGCTCCTTCGGCTTTCATGGCAAAACCTCAGGACCTGCCTTTCACCAGACAGTGCCTATGTCTCTTTGCCAATCTTGAGGGATGGCTCTTTGGAGCAATTTTTCTAGACACGGAGCTCTGGAATACAAAGAACAGGGGCTGACTCCTTTGGTGGATTTATCATACGGCAAAGTGAGCGCTCCTGGAAGACCAAGGATGTGACCCCACTGAGGCAGTCTGTGGCTCCCAGATCCAACATGCTTTAAATCATATCCTGATCGGGAACTTTCTTGAAGTCTCCCTCTGACACCTCTGTCCCTTCTCAAGTGTGCACACCAGTTTCCTGTCCCTATGGACCAGCTGGCTTAATCCTGACTCCTTCCATGGCTGCCCTAACCTCTCTATATCACAGATGTGGTCCCTACTCCCTTTGATTTGAGCCTACTGCTAGGTGACCATCTCTTTTTGTGTCTCTTTGATGAAATGCCAAGGGAGAAAATGTGATCGACCCAGCTCCTATGTGAGAGCCAGGCCCTCATGTCACTGGTTGTTGGTAGCCTATAAACTGCTGTCTATTCCTGGGCCAGTCACCTGTGTCCAGGGAGCAGAGACTAGGGTCAGTGGTAAAGAACCTGGCCATGCCTCCTCTGCAGAGTCTGGACTATGTCAGATTCTGGGCCAGGCTCTCGGGGTGCAATGTTGGGCCCCTAGCTTTGAGTTGCCCCTCACTTTGCTAGAGGGACTCCCACAGGTACACAAAGATGCCACAGCATGGTATGTGGGATGTCACTGGGCTTGGGAAGGAGATGGTGAGATGCTAAAGGAACTTGAGCTCTCCTATTCTTTCTGCCCCCTAAGGATGTGAGAGGAGCGGGAACCCCAGGGTACTGTCTGCATCTCCCCTTCACCAAGGCAGATCTAAGCAGCCCCCCTGCATGCAGGAGAGGCTCAGCCTGCCCCCTGATGCTGCAGCTCTCTCTTGGTCAGGTGTGAAAGCTGCCATTTCATGCTCATCTTCCCCAATTAACAACAGCTGGTCCTCTATAAAACCAACTGGTGAGATGGTTTGTTATTGGAAGACAATGCAACATCATTAGGCATTAATGGCTCCCAGCCTCGTTTACTGGGGCTGAGTTCGCAGGGTTAATGTGGCGAGATGTTGGGCCTCACCCTGCAGAGCTCCTCACTCCTCTTCCATTTTTAGGTGCTTTTTCAAACTTCATTTTCTGAATCATGAACTGGGAGGCGGAGTGAATGTGGTAGAAGGTCTTGATTTTCTGGAAGGGAAATGGTTCAGGAGAGGGTGAAGCCACCACTTAGAAAAAAAGAGATCATCTCAACATTTTAATTGATAGCAAACAATTCTGAATTCAGAAATGTTTAAGGAAATGTCTTTTTTGTATCTGGATTAATCAGTCTGTTTCCATCAGCAACTAGATAGGCACTCCTTTTCTTCCCTCTCTCTGACTATCCCTAGATAACCTCCTCTAGCTCATTTGAGAATTTTCATGCTCTCAGTTTGAAAGTTAAGAGGTGAGTCATGAGCTGCGTTCAGACAAGAGCCCTTTCACTGGTGATATAAGAGCTTGACTCAGAGAAATGATCTTGGACTGGCTGTGACCTCGAAGTCACACTAAACACAGGTGGCATTGAGAATAGCTTGGCTACGTTGAGTTCAAACTGGCCTGCTAATATGAAAATTTTATCATGTGCTTGTGTATTTCCTTGTGATTTAAAATCAAAGCCTTAGTCTGCATATTCCTCTTGATCTTACTAATCGTGGCCATTATGATTCCATAAGGAGAACTCCCCTTAAGTAAACAAATCAGAAATCTCCATAACAGTCATCCATTCTCTCAGCAAACATTAAGTGACTACCAGTTATATATACCAGGCTTTACTGACAAAAATATCTGCCACTCCCAACAAATGCAGAAAAACCAGATGAATCTCATGGCTTTTGTTAAAAAGAAAGTTTTCTATTTGTCCTTCCTTATTTCTTCCTCCCTTTCTTTTTTGCTTCCTTCCTTCTTTCTTTCCTTCTTTTTTCTTTTCCTCTGTGTTTATCCCTTCCTTCCTCTCTCTCTCACTACCTACCTTTCTTATTTCCTTTCCTTCTTTTTTTCTTTATTTTGTTCCCCCTTTACTTCGGATATGGTTTGGATCTGTGTCCCCACCCAAATCTCATGTCGAATCATAATCTCCAGTGTTGTGCATGGGGCCTGATGGGAGATGATTGGATCATGGAGAAGGATTTCTCATGACTGGTTTAGTACCATCCCCTTGGTGCTATTCTCTTGATATTGAGATCTGGTTGTTTAAAAGTGTGGGACACATCCCTGTTCTCTCTCTCTAGCTTGCTCCTGCTACCACCATGTAAGAGGTGCCTGCTTTTTCTTTGCCTTCTACCGTGATTGTAAGTTTCCTGAGGCTTTTCCTCAAGAAGCTGAGCATATGCCAGCATCATGCTTTCTGTACGGCCTGTGGAGTCATGAGCCAATTAAACCTCTTTTCCTTATAAAGTACCCAGTCTCAGGCATTTCTTTATAGAAAAGTGAGAATGCACTGATACACTTTCCTCTCTTCCCCCCTCCCTTTCTCCATCCCTTCCTTCCTTCCTTGCTTACTTCCTTCCTTCTTTCCTTCCCTAAGATTTCCCAAGCATTTATACTTGCTGTATACTTGATTAAGATTTAGTTTCTATGCTAAAGAAACGAGGAATTTATCATCTGCATAGAGTGGCCAAATGACATCTCTTACCAAGAAGAAGCCCCAAAGCCAGGGTTCCCAAATCCTAGTCCAGGAGAAGCCCCAAAGCCCCAAAGCCAGGATTCCCAAATCCTAGTCTGGGAGCCCTGGGTCAGCAACCAACTCTTCTGGCATGAAGTTTGGGCAGAGATCTAGGGGTGAGCCAGCAATGGTGGGCAAAGCCCCTGGCCTGAAACACTACTTCTAGATCTTTCTATGTTTACTCCCCTATTCCCTTGGTGTTTAAGCAAGTGAATCCTATCTCAACTCTGCTAAGGGTATCAACAAGGAAATATGAAATCTATCCCTGGCCAATTCTATCAGGAGAGCAGCACCCCTAGAACCAGCCTGGTATGGCAACACCCACCCCCAAGGAGAAGGGGAAACTTGGGGCCCCCTTCCAGGACCACTTGATCCAGTCCCTGTAAAGTGCCTGGAGTGAAGTTGCAGCCCTTGTGGGTTTGCGTTAATGAAAGAGGACAATCCTTCTCCTAGACCCTGAGCAGAAGTCGATTAAAAGGACTCATTGTCTGTCCCACTCATGAGATACTTAATCAAACCATGCCATGAGCACTCACATTTATTACCTTCTTGTGTTGTTCTCTAATTTTCCCTGGGAAGAAGGGTTAACCTCTAACTATGTGCTCCCCAGGGAAATAAATAGAGTCATATCTACATTTACTTTATGTCTAGAAACCAAAATTAGGACATACATTGTGGCAAAGGATTGCTGTACCCTTTCCGAGAAAGGGAAGCAATTTAGAAAATTCAGTAGTTTAAACAACAACAATATTGGGATGTAGGGCAGTCAAGTGACTTAATAGCGACTTGGGATGTCTTCCCAGCTTTTCCACTTGCTGTGTGACTGCAGGTAAGGATCCCACCTCTCTGCATGTCAATTTTCTGTTTGAAGGTGGACTGTTCTGGAGAAGAGAAGGTTGCCAGGATCATAATTCCCTGCCCCTCTCTACCTCCAGGATTCACACCTGAACCCAAGCCCAGCAAACAGCCAGGCACCCAGGAGTCCCTCAGCAAGTATGTTACAAGTGAATGCATGAAAAACAGCAGTTTATAAGTGACAGACGTACTCCAAGCGGCCACCCTGTGACCCAGGCTCTTTGCAGTAGGACTTTTGGAAATTCTTGCTAGACACGTCTTCGTCTAGATGCTGATTTCCTGCAAACCAGCTGACCTGTATTTACAGTATCCACATTTGCTTTGGAAAAAATCCAAATGTCCACTTAACTGGGCTGGAGGCCAGCATAATCTTCCTATATTGTTTGTAACCATGAGATTAATGGTGGGCCTTGGTCCGAACCTTCTGGTGACATCATTCACCTAGGGATGTCTCTTTGGTGCAGATTACAATAATGGATTCGACATTGCTGTGGCTGTCCTCCTGCTCTGTTTTAGGAGCCTGGGCTTCTTCAGAGAGGCAGCCTGGGAGACAGAGTGGCATCATCTTAGAGATAGGCTATGGTGAGGGCTAAGATCCAAACACCTTTCTCCTGCGTACCAGCTGCGTGACCTTAGGCAAGCTGCTTAATCTCTTTGAACCTCAGCTTTCCCATGTATAAGCATCATAGCTCTTCATGAAATTATTGTGAGGATTAAATAAGTGTTTCATAAATGCTTGTTTTCTACCCATTGCTACACATGCTCATTCACACATTTCTGTTACCAGTGGGAAGATGGTTGAGTGGTTCATCTGATGTTGAAATAGGACATGGGTAACAACTAAACCACAGCAATAATAAAACCAAGTCCACTAAAAAATGGGCAAAGGACTTGAATAGGCATTTCTCCAAAGAAGATATAGCAATGGCCAATAAGAACATACAAACATACTCAACATCACGAATCATTAGGGAAGTGCAAATTGAAACCACAGTGAGATACCCCTTCACACCCATTGAATGGCGACTAAAAACAACAAGAAACAAGCAGAAAATAACAAGTGTTGGTGAGGATGTGGAGAAACTGGGACCCTTGTGGACTGCTGGTGGGAATGTAAAATAGTGCAGCTGCTGTTAAAAACTGTATAGTGATCCCTCAAAAACAAAAGCATAGAGTCCCCTATGACCCAGCAATGCCCCTTCTGGGTATACAGCCAAAAGAGAGGAAAGCAGGGACTTGAACATCTATTTGTACCCCCCATGTTTATAGCAGCATTAGTCACAACAGCCAAAAGGTGGAAGCAACCCAAGTGTCCCCTTACAGATGAATCAATAAACAAAATGTGGTCTATACACACCCAATGAAACACTATTCAACCTTAAAAGGGATGGAAATTCCAACATGTGCTATAAAACAGATGAACCTTGAGGATGTTGTGCTAAGTAGCATAAGTCCAAAAAGACAAATATTGTACATGTCCACTTACATGAGGGACTTAGACTATCAAATTTAGAAATAGAAAGTAGATGCTGGGCGTGGTGGCTCACACCTGTAATCCCAGCACTTTGGGAGGCTGAGGCAGGTGGATCACTTGAGGTCAGGAGTTCCAGACCAGCCTGATCTACAAGGTAAAACCCTGTCTCTACTAAAAATACAAAATTAGCCAGGCGTGGTGGCACACCCCTGTAATACCAGCTACTTGGGAGGCTAAGGCAGGAGAATCGCTTGAACCCAGGAGGTGGGGGTTGCAGTGAGCCAAGATAGTACCATTGCACTCCAGCCTGGGCAACAAGAGTGAAGCTCCGTCTCAAAAAAAGAACAAAGAAAAAGAAATAGAAAGTAGAATGGTGGTTGCCAGGGGCTGAAATGAGAAGTGAGTTTTAAGTGGGTGTAGAGTTTTAAGGAAAAAACTCTGAAAGTTTCTTCCTGAAGTTGCCTCAAATGCAGGGACTGTATTTTCTTCATCTTTGCATGCCGCTCCTGGTATCTGTTAATGGCTTGAACTGCAGTCTCAAGAAAGGAAGCACAATTCAGCAGAAGATGGCAAAGTCCCCTGTGCACACACACAGATAATATACGTGTGCACACACACAGAGTGAGAGAGAAGCCTTCGTGGCAGCCCTGAGAATGGATGTGGGGAGTGTTGGACAGGCATGTAGGAACAGAGTCTGTGACACTCGTTCAGAGGTTTTTGAATAGTCCTGGCAAGGGCTGAGAGGGCCCTGACCTCAGCTCACTGTACACCTGTATCCCTTGTTCCTCGTGCAGGGCCAGGCAGTAATGAGCGAGTGTAAGTTCTGCAGTCAGGCTATGTCATTCCAGCTCTAGCAGTTACCAGCTGTGAGGCCTGGGGCAAGTTATTTCACCTTTATGTGTCTTGGATTCTTCTGCTGTCAAATAGAGATGATACTAGAACCACCAAGGGCTGCGGCAGGGATGGAGGGAGTCACAAGCAGCATAAAGAGGGTCCAGCCCAGCATCTGGTGTCCCTGCTCAGTGACTGCATGTGACCCACTTGCCTGCAAGGGGAGCCTCTTCCCGTCACTGTGCAGGCTCCACCCCAGCCCCTTTCTCGTCCCCTCCCCACCCAAGCCTTGAAGGAGGAGGGTGAGTACTAAATGGCCTAGATGAAAGGCTTTCTGCTGGCAATTGCCTTCATTGCCTGCCATAAAAATACATCTATATTTAAATATGCTGAGATAATTCTTAAGTTTTATTAGTACTTAAATATTTTGGCATGTTTATTTCTCCTGGAACAATTATGGAGGTTTCATTGTTTTACTTGCAAAAAAGAGACTAAATCTCCTTTTACAATAAACCTCCTGACAGGTTGAAGATGGTGCTATCTCCAGTGTGTGTCCCATTATTGTCTAGTCAGCTCCTGGGGGTGCAGAAGCAGGACTGGGGAGGGAGGGGCACGGTCCCAGAGAGGCCCCTGTACAGGGCCCTGGATGTCTCCTGCTTGTCCCACCGATCTGTTCTCTGTATTCTCTTGCTTGTACCCTTTGGCATGCCTGGGTGGGCCATGTGTTCTCTGCCTTCCAATTGAGTCCAGCCAGTGGGCAGCTGGGGTAGGAGACCCCAGGAAGGGAAAGAAGATGAGTCAGAGTAGGGAACCCTTTGACTTCCTCCCTTTGGGGTCACTATGGCCTGGCGTGCCCCTCCACCAATGGGCACAACTCCTTCCAGCCAGCCCACTGCCTCTGGCCAGCCCGCACAGGGTCCCTGATGGACACAGAGCCTTCAGTAGGGCCTTCCTTGTGTAGGCCCTTGCCACCCACACAAAAGGAAGCATTTTTTTTTTTTTTCTGAGATGGAGTCTCGCTCTGTCACCCAGGCTGGAGTGCAGTGGTGCGATCTCGGCTCACTGCAACCTCCGCCTCCCGGGTTCAAGCAATTCTCCTGCCTCAGCCTCCTGAGTAACTGGGACTACAGGTGTACACCGCCACACCCATCTAATTTTTGTATTTCAGTAGAGATAGGGTTTCACCATGTTGCCCAGGTTGGTCTCGAACTCCTGACCTCAGTCAATCTGCCTGCCTCAGCCTCCCAAAGTGCTGAGATTATAGGTGTAAGTCACCGCGCCCAGCCTGGGAAGAACTTTTAAATCTGACATTGTGGTTAATGCTGGTAACAGCTCTGTAAGTAGACTGGGCAGGGCTGCTTTCCCTTATGTTACTGATCAGGACACGGAGGCCCAGAGAGGTTGCCTGCCCTGCTCAAAGTCACACAGCTGGTAAGCAAAGAAACTAGGCCTGAAGCCCCAGGCTGCTGAACATAGGCTCCAGATAGCTCCCACTCCTGCCGGCTGGCTGTGGTAGACAGTTAGATACAGGGATGGAGAAACACACAGGCTGTTTCTTCTCCCACCTTGGAGAAGACCTGCTCTCACCTGCTGCCCAAACCACTCTTCTCCTTCCTGGGGTGGGTGAGGGTGCAGGAGGAGAGAAGTGTAGCTCAGGGACATGGGGGAGACAGAGGACTGGTCCGGGCCCTGTTTTAGCTGTGTGACCTTGAGCAAGTTACTTAAACTCTCTGGATCTTCATTTCCCACTTGCATCATGAAAATGGTACTTGCTGGGCAAGATTCGGAGCCAGAGTGACCATATCAGCTTAAGGTAATACTATGCAGGGCTCGTGAGCCTGTGCCACGTGACAGGGCTATTCTAAGCACTTTACCACTTTAAGTGTAATGTTTGGTTGAGGTAGCTATTGCTTTTATTGCCCTTATTTGACAAATGCAGAAGCCAAAGCCCAGGGAAGCTGAGCGGACACTTCCCCCACCTCAGTGCTGGCATTTGAGCACAGGCCATTGGACCCCAGAGCTCAGCCTCAACCTTCACAGAGTAGGAGAACTGGAAGGGACCTCAGGGTCTAGCCAGCCCAGATAGCTCTACAGGTGGGGAAGTAAGGCTCAGACAGCAAGGGCAAGGGCCCTGGTCAGTTTCACACAGTGATGGGCACCAGACTGCGTGTCCCCAAATTCATGGCTTACTCCCTGTGGAGTTAGCAAAATATGAACCACTAAAGATCAGCTCTTGCAATCCATTTCTCCAAGTAACCTGTTTTGCCTTCACTCCATCTCCATGTAAACAGTGGGACCACCAAGCCCACCAAGCTCTAGGGTCCAGGTAGCCCCGAGCTCTGTTGCACACCAGTGCTAATGCAGCTCTTTGCTCGGATGGCAAAGCTGGTGTCCCACAGGAGTGTTTCTCTTGTGAGCAAATGGACTGCACTGCCTGGAGGTGTGGTTTGTGAGTGAGCCAGCCCCCACCCACCCTGTAGTGATCACTGACTGTAATCTCATGGAGGGTGGGAGAAGGCCCAATCTAGCCTGGGACAGGGAGGGCTGGAAGCCAGGTTTGAGGTGGAATGGTGTGCTGTTTACATTGTGTGTGCCATAGGCTGCTTGGGCTGCAATGTCTAGCTGTGTGGCTTTGGGAATTTTCTTCTCTCCTCTGAGCTTTGGTTTTTTCATCCATAAAATGGTGTGTCCATAGCAGCATGTGACTTATAAGCAGGTGCTGTATGAAAATATTAATACATAACAAGTGGTTTGTAGGGGACCTGACCAATCAGAACCAATGCCAGCCATAAACCCTGATGCAGCTATTCTGGAGTCAACTGAATATCCAACCATTCCCGGGGTGATTGTCAAGAATCAGAGACAAAGTGCACAGCTGATCACACGGCAGATGCTCCATACACAGCAGCTATTGTTTTATTGGTAAATTTCAAGAGCTCTGGTTTCCTCCAGGTTGTGACATTTTCAACATTTTAATCCTTTAAGGCATATGGTGGAAATTTCATTACTGCAGCTCTAGGTGTGGGGAAAATGCCAACCACTACGTGGCAAGATTTAATTCAATCCTTCAAACATTGGCTGAGTAGTCCCTCTGTGCACAGTACCGGGAAGGAGGCACAGAGGAATACAGCAGCCTCTGTTCTCAGGAGGGGACCCCAGATCCATAGGAGAACCCACACAAACAACCCAGGGTAAATAAGTCAGAATGAAAGAAATGCTCAGTGCAGGGACAGGAGGCTGGGCAGAGCAGTGGAACAAAACACAAGCTTGGGGTCAGGCATTTTTCCCATTTCCACCCCACCCCCAACCTGGCAGATTCAGTTCCCTATCTGTTAAACGGGATTATTAACATTTATCTCAACGGGTTGTCATGGGGACTAACTGAGGCATTGTCCTGTTGAAGCAGCTGGCATGGGGCTTGGCACCATTTGGCCTCCTCTTAAAGACATGCAGCTAGCCTGGGGTTAAACAGTTTCTCCCACTCAGGTTTGGGTAGTCTGGAAAGGCTTCCTAGAGGAGGGGGTGTGGAGCTGTCTTGAAGGGTGAGAGGGGTTTTGAGTGGTGGAGAAGGTGAGGAAACAGCCCCGAGGAAGGCACAGAGGTAGAAGGAAGGTTGTATGAGGCCACAGAAGGAAACTGCAGGCCACAGGACAGGGCAATGGTCTTTGAATGATGGAGCAAGGTCTTGAAGAAGTTGGCCAACAGAGCCTTTGCTCCATAGGTTTTTGGTGATTATTTTTGTGAGTTGATCATAATTTGGAGTGGGATTAATGGCTTCCATCTGAAGAATGTGATACGATCTAAGTCCAAAAGCAAACCTCAACAGAAGCTCCACTATGCCTCCTGCCCATGAAGAAATGGGGATGGGGGCTCAAAGGGAATGGATAGGGGACTATGGTGATGGTGGGAGAAGGAAGGCCCAGGGAGTGCTGACCACAGACAGGATGGAACATCAACTAGACAGAGCTTGCAGCTGCAAGGAGTGAGCTTTCCCAAGCAGAGCACTTCTGTCTGATGATCACCATAGGAGAGGCTGGTTCCTTCTCAGTCCAGACTACTGAGCAAAAAAGCCCCTTCCCCCTTGGCCTGGGAATTATTAGGGGGAGGAAGAGCAAAGCTGTGAAGGAGGATGGAGACCAGGAATGAAGAGGCTCTGGGAGAGAGGGAGAAATCTCTTTGTTCTCACTCATATGGTGCTGTGAGTTCACCCAACACTCAGACCAGGCTCGGAAAGGCTGGTGCCAGTCCTGGTCAGGCGGACTTGAGGCAAGTCACAGGTTCTTGGTTCCTACTCTTGAAAAGGTGGCTGTGACCCCATTCCCAGCTCTCTGTAAGGCCCTTTTTAAGATGACTTGGAAGGAAGCCAGTAGTGGAGTCTCCATTGCCAAAGGAAACCCAACTGCTGTTATGCCCCTGTTTTAGACAGAGCTGCGGAAGAGAAGTAGAGAGTCTAAATTCTTCTCATCTTCAAATAAGAAAGCCATTGCAGTCTCAGTCCAACTAATGGGTCCTCCATCAGAACAGGTCATGTTCTAATGCCAGAGAAAAAGAAATGTATTCTGAAGGTCCCAAGAACCCGGTCTGTGGAGAAGAGCACGTTCCCCTCAAATCCTGCACTCCCCTCCCAGGTCCCAAGTGCCTGCTTCCCAGCTTAGCATTCGGACCCCCAGCACACAGCAGGTGCTCTCAGGGTTTGTGATTATAATCAATGAACTCTAGCCCTCATCCTCTCCTTGGCTGTCCATTTTACAGATGGTAAGGTTGAGGCCAGCCAGAATGAGGAAAGCAGTGCTGGATGGAGCAGGGCCCAGATTAGAGGTAGAATGCAGGGATCTTGTCTCCTAGACCTTTCTGCTTTAGAAGGCTTTACAGTAGGAGGCTCTATTTGGGTCCCAGAGCTCAGAAATGGACTTCTAGGTCTTCATTTCCCTTATGTCAGATGCAAATATCAGGTGTCTGTGCATTTCTCTGGACAGAGGATCTACAGCTTTCATTAGGTTTTTTGATGGTTTCTATCCTCATTCCCTGAAATGTCTTCAGAAAATAAAATTACAAGCCAGCATTGCATTGCTGTGTTCAACCATTCTCCAACTCTCAGCCTGGAGGCAGGGAGCCCCGCCACCCAGCTTGCAGTCAGGAAGCAGGTTGTCTTTCCAGTCTGGAAGTCAGCTGTCTTCACAGTCTGGGGAGGAGGTGGCAAGAGTGACAGCAGGGCCCCTCTGTGTCTCTGACACATTTTCCCAGGCCCAAACATGAATGCTAACTCGTGCTCACTCACATCTCCTCCCAAGCCCATCCCACACACGCTCCCCAGAACACTGGGCACTCTCTGTGGAGTGGTTGTGGGAAGGCACCAGAGTGCCATTGCCACTTACACCCTGCCTTCGTTTTTGCCTAAAATGCTGGAAAACTTGGGGATCTTCTGGGGTAGCCATCTCATCTTACAGAGGGGAAAATAGGGAAGGAGCATTCTCTCATTTACCTCTATACTAAGGGCAGAACATGATTAGGAAAATAAAGCAAGCTTCAGATTCAGGCAGAGCGTCTTCCTCCACTGGAAGGCCCCACGTGGTGGTTTTCACTGTGAGGCTGGGCATTTCCAAGGAGGAGCCAGCATGCTGGATGGGCTGCTGGTCTGACCCTCTCTTGTGAGCTGCAGGCTGTGGGGTCCTGCCATCAGGAGTGCAGCCAGGCCAGGTAACCATGTGTAACCACACACGGAGGGGCTCGAGGAGCCAGGACTTGGCAGAGAACAGAAAAAGGATCCATCATTTATTCACTCCCCCACTCATTTATTAAGTCAACCAATATTTATTAAGTTGTTATACTCCAGGGGCTAGTAACAACAACACGACCAAGATAGGCCCTAGAGGCATGAGGCTCACATGCTCATAGAACAGCAGCAAACTGAGCTCCACTGCAGGAGGAGGACTGTGTCTTGTTCCCTACACAATTTACAACAGCATCATCACATTCCGCAGTGAATAAAGGATGCGCAGTGGGACCTGCTATTCCCTTCCAGTTTCTTCTCATCCTTCAGTTATTGGTGAAACCCTTAGCCCAGTGTGGCTAAAGAAACTCTTCCCCTTCCCCCTTCCCCCTTCCTCCTTCCCCCTTTCCTCTTCCCCCTTCCCTATTCCCCCTCCCCTCCCTTCCCTTCCCCTCCCCTTCCTTTCCTTTCCCTTCCCTTCTCTCTCCATCATTTCCTCCCTCCCTATTTCCTTTCTTCCTTCTCTCCCTCCTTCCTTCCTCCCATCTTCCTTCCCCCTCCTTCATCCCTCCCTCATTCCTTCCTTTCATCCCTCCTTTCCTGCTTCCTTCCCTCCTTTTCCTGTCTCCTCCTCCCTCCCTTTCCTTCCTTCCTTCCTCCCTTTCCTTCCTTCCTTCCTTCCTTCCTTCCTCCCTCCCTCCCTCCCTCCTTCCTTCCTTCCTTCCTTCCTTCCTTCCTTCTTTCCTTACTTCATCCCTCACTCCCTTCCACCTTCCCTCTTTCCCTCCTTCCTATGGGGCTTCTTAGATGCTGTATCCTAGGGAAGATACTGAGGATGCAAAACGAGGTCCAGGAAGGAAGCCAACTAGAATTCAGATCATTACCCAACCACATGAGGGCTCCTAGGCATTAAGGGAGCTCAGAAAAGGGGCCTCACCCCACACCGGGACATGAGGGTCAGTTCTGCAGGGAGGCGATGCCAGGCTCCTCCTTCCTGCTGGCTGAGCACCTGTCATGTTCCAGATGCCATGCTGGGGCCCTGGCATGGAGTGGTGAGGGCAGGTCAGACCCCTCCCTGCAGGGACCTTTCTGCCTGGGGGCTTGCCTGGATCTGCTTGGTCCCAGTTGGCTGTCTCCACTCACATTGTACAGGCTCTTGGAGCCTCCCCTCTGGGCCCCTGGCCTCTCTTACCCTTCCTGGTCTGGGCTGGGCCATCTCATCTTCTTCAGTGGTCTTCTTTACTAATGGGAGAAGGCACTCATTGTCTGTTCCTATCATTGCTCAGAATTCAGAGTGAAGAGTTCAGTCTTCACCTTCCGCATTTCTTGTGTTCTGCTGAGAGTGTGGAGCCAAGAAGGACTGTGAGCCTGCCCCTGCACGTGCCTTGCAGAGGGTCTGTCCTCAGTGACCCACTGCCAAGACAGCCCTGCAGGGATCCTCTCTGTTCCTCTCAGAGCCACCTCTGTGTCCTGCCATATTTCAAGGGCAGTTGGGGACCCACTTTGAAGAGGAAGAGTAACTTCTGGGTTGAGTCCAAGGGAAACATTTTCTCCACTGTACAGAGGTCTTCCCTGCAGCTGTCCCTGTGCACACCTTTGTTAAAGTGCCCTGAACTGGGTGGCACTGGGGTTCTAAATCATATGAGCTCAGCTGAGCTCAGCATGCCATTAGTGCAACACAGAAGGGAAATCAACGAACCTACTATTCAAATAAAATTCAGGTGTGGGGTGGTTTAAATAATACAAGCAACATGGCCACTGTTCTTAGCATAGGTATTTGATCTTTTAAAATAAGACCTTATTATTCGAAACCAAATTTCAATGAAAAAAAACCTGAAAAATTACCAATTTCGTGATTATCAGCTTCCATGTTGTTCAAATAGAAAGACAGGATCAAAATTAAAACTTGGGTTTCAGACCCCAAGAGGCAGTGTCTGGTATGTGAAGGGCCAATATTATCCACTGTGAATTTGTTGTGTGACCCTGAGCAAGTCAGCCCACCTTCTGCCCCAGTCTCCTTGTGTACAAAATAGGGGTGATGTCACCTGCATTGTGAGGTGTGGCAAAGGAAGTAAGAAAAGTGAGGGAGTGTGGTTTTTACATGGTGTCATTTGATCCCTTGTTTGTTTGTTTTCTTTATTTTTAGCCTTTTTCGAACCACTCAGTATTGGAGACTCCAATGAAAGTGAATGTTGCCCAGATATGAGGGGTCACTTCCTTTTGCCTCTAACTCATAGGGAGACCCAATTTTGAAGAACTGAGAAATGATGACCCCTATAAGGAGTTCAAAGGGAAGCAGAGGAAGTTTCTATACTTCAGGCTCAAGATTTCGACGCCTCCTACATTCAAGGCTAAGTGCAATTTTTGAGGGTCCCAGAGCGTGTTCCCTGGTTTAGAATTAAAGAAACAATAGGTAGGTTTGCCTTCAAAAGCCAACCCTGGCTTCTGTAGCCTCCTCACTCCATCCGGAGCCATTGCTTTGAATTATACATGAGGCACTTGTGGGAGCTGTGATGCTTTTTCAAATATTTCTCTAATTGATGAGTGGGCCTTTGATAAATTGCTGTAGAACCAAGAGCATCTGATCACAAGAAATTCTGTCTTGTTCCTCCTTGACAGATGTTTGTTTGACTTAAAGGGGGTGCAAGATCCAAGGAACTACTTCTCCCTCCTGGAACTTTCATTGTAAACAGAAAATTCTATGGTTTTGTTTTTAAAGCCAAACAAAGACAGTTCTCTGAGATCTGAAGTCTGGTGCCTGCCCTCATTCAGATGAAGAACTTGGGGACAGAGAGCTGAAGTGCAAGGTCTTATCCACCCTGAATTCTTGCTTTATCCCCCATGTCTTCCTCCCTGCTGCTTAAGGGTACTTTCTAAACCTCAGCTCCATGGAGAGAGACAAAATATTTAATAACCAGGATATCCAGGCACCAACTAGCCAGAACATCAGAACGAACACCAGCCACAGGCCAACACCAGGGCTTGCTGGGTCAGGCACTAACCTTTACTTGCTGGGACCCCAGGTCGGGGAACCACAGTGCTGAAATGTGTGAGGAAGATGGGCAGTGACTCAGAGGCGCTTGAACAGTGTCTTTTTCCTAATTGGTATGGAAATATTTCAATATTTTCAAAATTAGTATGCCTATCCCAGTATAGTTTTTGATGAACTCCCTACTGTCCTCCCATCCCCCAAAGAATACATCCAAATATGTACATGACATTTAAAATCCTCCAACTCCCTCCAAACTGTCTCTCCCACGTCTTCTCCCTCAGTTTCTTCCCATGCCCATACCCCTGAGTTCAGCCACATAGGTCTCCTATTCATTATCTGTACAAGTCAGAAGCTTCCATGAAGTCTTGCCTGACCCCACTCTAATTTTGGCCCCTGCCTCCAGCACTTCATCACCACTTCCTTCATATTGTCACAACATTGTCACAAATGTTTAATCTAGTGTTTAATATATTTCATTGTGATTTTTCTAATCTGTGTTAGATAATAACCTATGTAGGACACTGGCCTAATAAATTAGATTTATTGGGCTCTCATTCCCACCTGTTACTGCAGGACCATCAGGCCACCTTCCCTCCAATACTTCCCTAGTAATTTCTGAAGTCATCAGAGTATAGCTCATGTGCAGTCACCAAAAACATTTATTGGAGAGGAATCTCCTTTCTCTGACCCCTGCTTCCATGCAGAGGGACCTCCGCTAGCATAATAAGCTTATCATCTCTTCATCTTATGAGTGAGTGAGAAGGAACTGGGCATGCAGGGAATCTCCTTTTACTTCCCTTTTCTTCTGCTGCCTTGACATCTGCTATATACAGAGAGCACATTTTCTCCTCCAAGCAACATGACCTGCAGAGGCTGGCTTGTATAAGGAGGACTGTATTTTTCAGGACTGCTATGATTAGGTGAATAAGCACAATTCAGGGTATGTGGGCAAACCTCCTGTCCAGATCTAAGCAATGTCCTCCAAGATGGCTTTATCAAGATCAAAGGCTACTGCCTGATTCCATCCTGGGCAGAGAGAAATGAGAGGGGGGCATTTATATTCAAGACTTCTGAAAATCCAAAAGTCAGAAAACCCATAGGCATTAAAAGGATAAGAAGAATACTACAAATGATCCTATATATATAAATCTAATAAATAAAAGGAACCAATTATTTGAAAGCAATAAATTACTAACTCAGCTAGGAAAAAGTGAATAACCTCAATAGTTCTACATTTATTAAAGAAATAAAATTGATAGTTTACAAAATCTCTGATAAAGAAAAACTTTAGTCAAAGATAGTTTCACTGCTACAATTTACCAAACATTTAAAGAAGAAGAAACACCTATTTTATATAATCACTTTCAGAAAGTATAAGAAGAGGGAACATTTCACAACTCAAATTATAATGCTAGAATTACCCTGAAATCAAAACCTACAAAAATATTATAAGAAGAGAAAACTATAGGCCAATAACCCTTATGAACACACAAATATACTCAGCAAAACATTAGCAAATAAAATCTAGCAATATATAAAAGGAATAATATACCATAACA
The DNA here is from genome assembly GCF_000001405.40 of Homo sapiens. Classification (NCBI taxonomy): domain Eukaryota; kingdom Metazoa; phylum Chordata; class Mammalia; order Primates; family Hominidae; genus Homo; species Homo sapiens. The sequence goes on along the minus strand of NC_000010.11, from coordinate 78,609,417 downwards.
AAATGAGGTTTATCTCAGGAATGCAAGGCTGGTTCAATAGTTGAAAATCGACCAACACAAGCCATCATACTGTATTAACAAATGAAAGAATAAATGACACACAAGCATATCAATTGATGCAGAAAAAGAACTTAACACAATTCAACATACATTCAAGATAAAAATCTTCACCGAACTATAAATAAAATTTTCTTAACTTGATTAAGGGTGTCTACAAAGAAATCCATAGCTAACATCAAACACAGTAGTGATGTTATATAGTAGGCAAAGTTTTCCACTCTAACTGGTGCTATTCTGCAGCATACTGGAAGTCCTAATGAAATAAGGCAAGAAAAAAAAATAAAAGGCACACAGATTTAAAGGAATAAATAAAACTGGGCCCTATTTGTAGACAACATGACCATAGAACATCCCAAAGAATCTACATTTAAAAAACTCCTAGAATGAATAAATGAGTTTGGCAAGGTTGCAGTATATAAGGTCAATATAAAAAAATCATATTTTTACATACTAGCAATAAGCAACTAGAAACTAGGATTTTAAAAACAAATACCATTTATAAAATTTTCCCAAAATGAAATACTTAGCTATATATGTAAGAGAACATGTGCATGACCTGTATAAAGAAAACTATAGAACACCAATGAAATAAATAATAGCTAAAAAAAAAATGGAGAGACAAACTCTGTTCCTGGATTGGAAGACTTAATATAATTAAGAGATCAGTTGTCTCTAAGTTGTTCTATAGATATAATGTACTTCTGATCAAAACCACAGCATAATTTTTTTGGTAGATATAGATAAACTGGTTCTAAAATTTAATGGGAAATGAAAACAGAACTAAAATAGCCATAACAGTTTTGAAACATAAGAAACAGAATAAATGTGGAGGGCTCACACTACCCAATATAAAGACATATTATAAACTACAGTAATCAAGACCTCAGGGTATCAGTGAAGTGTTAGATGCTTAGATTAGTGGAACAGAATTGTCAACCCAGAAACAGACAGACACAGATATGACTGAGTGATTTTTGACAAATTCAATGGAAATGGGATTATCTTTTCAACAAATAACAATTTGGGGCAATTGCACATCCATCACAAAAACAAAACAAAACAAACCAAGAAAAACCTCACCCCTTATTACAAAATGGATCATAGATCTAAATGTAAGACGACATTTTTTTAAAAAATATAAGAGAAAACATAAGAGAAAACCTTCTTGACCTTGAGTTAGGCAAAAAGAGTTATTGGATGTGACACCAAAAGCATAATTCATAAAAGAAAAAAATTGGTAAATTAGACTTCATCAAAATTAAAAAGATTTTCCTTTTGAAAACGACTGTTAAGAAAATGAAAAACAAACTACAGCCTGAGAGAAAATACTTATAAACCACATATTGTATAAAGGACTTGAATCCAGAATATACAAACAACTCTCAAAACTCAACAGAAGAAGGAATACACCATAATAAAAAAAAAGTGGGCAAGTAATTTGAACAGACTCCTCCCTAGAGAATATACACAGGTGGCAAATAAGTTCACAAAATTCAAAATAAAATAAAGCCCCAATGAGATGCCATTGGAATCTATTAGAATGGCTATATATATAATAGTATATAGCATATATATGTAAACATATATATACACACAAACATATGTTAACATATATATATATATATGTTTACATTAGCCTAGATCTATGGAGTGTCAGGGTGTGATGAAATTGTTCTGTATCTTGATTGTGAAGCTGGTGTTACATAAATCTATACCCATATAGTTACAGGAAAGCATTGCTTAAGGATAGGGATATGTTCTGAGAAATGTGTCCTTAGGTGATTTCATCACTGTCTGAGCATCACAGAGTGCATTTACACAAACTTGGATGGTACAACCTACTGTACACCTAGGCTATATTGTAGAGCCTATTGCTCCCAGGCTACTGACCTGGACAGCAGGTTACTGTACTGAATACTGTAGACAATTGTAACCCAATGTCAAGTATTTATGTATCTAAATATAGAAAAGGTACAGTAAAAACATGGAATAAAGATTTAAAAAATGATTGGTCCATCTTGAATTAATTAAAGACTTAAATGTTAGACCTAAAACCATAAAAGCCCTAGAAGAAAACCTAGGCAATACCATTCAGGACATAGGCATGGGCAAGGACTTCACGTCTAAAACACCAAAAGCTATGGCAACAGAAGCCAAAATTGACAAATGGGATCTAATTAAATTAAAGAGCTTCTGCACAGCCAAAGAAACCACCATCAGAGTGAACAGGCAACCTACAGAATGGGAGAAAATTTTTGCAATCTACTCATCTGACAAAGGGCTAATATCCAGAATCTACAAAGAACTCAAACAAATTTACAAGAAAAAAACAAACAACCGCATCAACAAGTGGGTGAAGGATATGAACAGGCACTTCTCAAAAGAAGACATTTATGCAGCCAAAAGGCACAAGAAAAAATACTCATCACCACTGGCCATCAGAGAAATGCAAATCAAAACCACAATGAGATACCATCTCACACCATTTAAAATGGCGATCATTAAAAAGTCAGGAAACAACAGGTGCTGGAGAGGATGTGGAGAAATAGGAACACTTTTACACTGTTGGTGGGACTGTAAACTAGTTCAACCATTGTGGAAGTCAGTGTGGCAATTCCTCGGGGATCTAGAACTAGAAATACCATTTGACCCAGCCATCCCATTACTGGGTATATTCCCAAAGGATTAGAAATCATGCTGCTATGAAGACACATGCACACATATGTTTACTGTGGCACTATTCACAACAGCAAAGACTTGGAACCAGCCCAAAAGTCCAACAATGATAGACTGGATTAAGAAAATATGGTACATATACACCATGAAATACTATGCAGCCACAAAAAATGATGAGTTCGTGTCCTTTGTAGGGACATGGATGAAGCTGGAAACCATCATTCTCAGCAAACTATCGCAAGGACAGAAAACCAAAGAACCAACCGCGTGTTCTCACTCATAGGTGGGAATTGAACAATGAGAACACATGGACACAGGAAGGGGAACATCACACACCGGGGCCTGTTGTGGGGTGGGGGGAGGAGGGAAGGATAGCATTAGGAGATATACCTAATGTAAATGACGAGTTAATGGGTACAGCACACCAACATGGCACATGTATACATATGTAACAAACCTGCACGTTGTGCACATGTTCCCTAAAACTTACAGCATAAAAAAAAAATGGTTGGTCCACCTGTAGAGGGCACTTCCCATGAATGGAGCTCACGGCACTGGCAGCTGCTTTGGGTGAGTCAGTGAGTGAGTGATGAATGAATGTGAGGGCCTAGGACATAACTGTACACTACTGTAGACTTTATAAAACTGCACACTTATTTAAAATTTATTTATATAAATTTATTTAAATTTTTGATTTAAAAATTTTTAAAAATTTATTTAAATACATTTATTTTAATTTATTTTAAAATTTTCTTTCTGTAATAATAAATTAACCTTAGCTTATTGTAACTTTTTTACTATATAACCTTTTCAAAACTTTTTGACTCTTCTGTAATAACACTTAGCTCAAAACTCAAACATTGTTCAGCTGTACAAAAGTATTCTTTCTTTATATCCTTACTCTATAAGCTTTTTTAATTTAAAAAAATTTTATTATTATTGGTTTTTTACTTTTTAAAAGTTTTTGTTAACAACTAAGACACAAATACACACATTAGCCTAGGTCTACAGAGGGTCAGGATCATCCATGTCACTGTCTTCCACTGCCACGTCTTGTCCCACTGGAAGGGTTTCAGGGCAGTAATACTCATGGAGCTGTCATCTTTTATGATAGCAATACTTTCATTCAGAATACCTGAAGGACATGCCTGAGGCTCTTTCACAGTTAACTTGCATATATATATATATATATAAAATATATATATATAATCTAAAATAATTAAAAGTATAGTATAGTAAATACATAAACCAGTAACGTAGTCACTTATTATCACTATGAAGTATTATGTACTGTACATAACTGTATGATCTGTACTCTGATATGACTGGCAGAGCACTAGGTTTGTTTACATCAGCATCAGCACAAACACCTGAGTAATGCCTTGTGCTATGATGTTACAATGGCTAGGATGTCCCTAGACCATAGAAGTTTTCCAGCTGCATTGTAATCTTATGGAAACAGTTGTGTATGTGGTCCGTCGTTGACTGAGGTGTTGTTATGCATGAGCGCGCACACACACAAACAAAACCAGCAGTCGTCTCCGCCAGTCTGTGACAGCTGCATTAGTTCTATCTTTTGCCAGTCCTTCCCATCTTGTCCCTTTCCACAGGAATCCTTGTCCCAGAAGCTCCACGGAAGCCTCTCAGCACAGCCACTGTTTCCAGTGCCTGCCCATCAAAGCTGCCGGGGGGCCAGCCTTCCTGCGCTCCCCTAGAACCTGACACCACATCCTGCCCTTGGTGCTGCCCCCCATAGCTGCCCTGGAGCTGCCACCACCACCACCAAGCACCACAGCCAGCAGGCAAGCCCACAGGCACCAAGGGGCTACATTGGGCTGTACCCTTCCAAGCCACTGCACACCAAAGCCATGAGTATCCTTTGCTCAAGGGGAACATGCAGGTGTTCCCTCTCTCTCATCACACTTTCATAGGGATGTTGTAAAGCACTCCTGACCTGTGTCCTGGCTTATGAAAATTTCTGGAAAAGCAGTCCATGCAGTTTTATTTTTATTTGCAGCTGAGAGCCTGCCCTCACTTCTGTCACACGCTGCCTCGCGACACGGAGCTGAGCTCAAAGCCTTAAGGCATGGGGCTGAGCTGGGAGACAAGCTTCGGTGGAAGATGCCATGCAGTGCCCAGACTTGGCCTTCCCTCCAGCCACAGAAGCCTGCTCTTCACTTAAGTTGGGTGGGCTCTGAGGTGGCACAGGGCCACTGTCATACGGTCAGCCCAGAGCCCCCCTGATGTCTGCTTGTCTGCTCTCCTAGCTTCCTGGTTTCCCACCCCACAGCCCTTTTCCCCAGCGCTCGAGGACTGGCTGATGGACGCCTCACTGAATCAGCCATGGAAGTGCCTTATAGAGTACAGTAATTATTAATTTGAGTAAATACATTTTGGCTCCTTCTTCACAAGCCCCTACAGACACTGCAGGGTTTACTGCTTCAAACTTAGGCTTCTGGTCAGCCTCATTTAAGGCTTCTCTGGAATCCAGGCCAAATATAAATGGTGACCCGGCAGAAGTGGCGTGACCAGGCAAAGTGTGATACTTCCTTTGAGACCATGAGCCAGCCCCTTCCCTTCCCTGGCTCAGTTTCCTCCATTGTAACATGGGCTGGTGGGCCAGATGGTCCCCATGTTCCTTCCATCCTTAGGGATCTAGAAATAGAAGAGGCTCCTCCCCAGCATCCCCACCACCTGGCTCCTGAAGAGCACACACCCGCTCTGCAGAAAAGTGACAGTGAGCCCAGTCCGTCAGGGATCCCTGGAAACAGAAGTTGGAAGTGAAATAGCCCAGGGCATTTGGAATGTTCATTCATTATTACAGGTTGAATTCTGTCTCCCCAAAAGATACATGGGAATCTTGACCCCCAGGACCTGTGTATGTGACCTTATCTAGAAATAGGGTCTTTGAAGATGTCATCAAGTTAGGATAAGGTCCTGAGGATATGCCCTCATCCAATATGTCTGGTGTCCTTATAAGAATGGACAAGGCTGGGCACGGTGGCTCACGCCTGTAATCCCAGCACTTTGGGAGGCCGAGGCGGGTGGATCTCCTGAGGTCAGGAGTTTAAGACCAGCCTGGCCAACACTGTGAAACCCCATCTCTACTAAAAATACAGAAGTTAGCTGGGCATGGTGGCACATGCCTGTAGTCCCAGCTGCTCAGGAGGCTTAGGCAAGATAATTGATTGAACCCGGGAGGCAGAGTTTGCAGTGAGCCGAGATCGTGCCACTGTACTCCAACCTGGTCGACAGAGCAAGACTCCGTCTGAAATTAAAATAAAATAAAGAAAGGACAAGACAGAGACACAGGTTGAAGATGGCAGAGGCAAAGGTTGGGGCCATGTATCTAGAAGCCATGGAATGCCAAGAGCTGATGGCCACACCAAAAGCTATTAGAGGCAGGAAAGGACTTTCCTCTGTGGTTTTCCAGACGGGGGACATGCACACCTTGTCTGGGGACTTCTAGTCTCCAGAACTGTCAGATAATAAATTTCTCTTGTTTGAAGTCCCCCAGTTTGTGGTACTTGGTTACAACACCCCTAGGAAACAGATAGACCCAGTCAGTCCTTACATATTTATTGTGCACCTACTGTGTGACAGGCACTGGCCTAGACCCTAGATAGAGCAGCAAATCACACGAATAAAAGGCCCTTCCTTTGTGGAAATTTTATCGATGATTGTCCTGAGGGAACAAGGAATTTGTCAAAAAGTTTTGATTAGGAAGATAATGTTTGTAGCCTTCCTGTTTTATATGGAATGGAATATGCTATTTTTGGGGTCATTTTCCAGACAGAAATAGCAAATTTCAGAGCTGGAAGAGCCTTCAGAATTTCTCTAGTCCAAATTAACCATGTCCTCAGCAAGGGAATTTAAGTAGAGAGACTGGGTCCAGGCTGGCTTCTCGAGTCTGTGTGGTGTCACCACCGCCCACGCTCTGGGTGCTCAGGTGTCTGGGCTGGGGATGAGGTCCATATGAATCATGGATTGGGGGAACTCCAGGATGGGGTTTTCTGGGACCCAACTTTAGAGACTACAGTGGTGCCGTGACTTGAGGGGGTTGTGGAAACAACAAGGAGGCTTTTGTATAGCACACGGGTGCCCCCAACTCTACGTGAGGTGCTCACTGCTTGGGACTTTTCTGGGGACATGGGTGGAAAGGGAACCAGTGAGGGCGACATTTAGGTCTGATTCCTAAGAGTGGCTTAGAGCCAGTGGGTCCTGGTGCAGAGCAGGCATTTCTCCTGCTGGACACGACTCCCTCCTGTGGCCTGAGGCAGGTGCTAAGACCCTCAGACACGAGGAGGGGCCTGGGAAAGATGCGGACATGGGGAGCAGTCTCACAGCCCGCACTGGGGCCCAGCCTGGCTGTCAGGCAGAGGAGCCGGCAGGGGAAAGTGGGTAGGATTAGAGGTGAAGCCATGCCTTTGAATTCAAACAGACCTGAGCTCCAATTCCTATCTGCCCCCTGCTAGTGGAGCGGCCTTGAGTGAATTAAGTTGCCTCCCTAAGCATCAATTATCTTTATCTGCAAAATGGATACATATGGAGTACTTTCTTCAGAGAGTTACTGGGAGGCCTAAGCAATATGGCCAATGTAAGTGGTGAGCTGCCATTATTACTATTGTAGCCAGTGGAGGGGATGCAGTGGAGTGAGGCCCCATAGGAATGGCTGCAGGCTGAGCAGTGCCAGGAGAGGCAGGCAGGGACTGCTGGGGGTGATGAGGGCACTGCCCAGCCTGAGGCTGAAGAGTGTGCAGTCAGCCCTTCCCCTCCCTCTGGCTTCACCAGGATAGACCCAGACCAGATGGGGACAGGAAGAGAGAAGGGACATGGACCAGGATAGCCACAATGCTGCTTGCCTCTCACCATTGCCCTTCCCAAGGCCCCTCCTCTGGCCCCTGCTTAGATATGATTCTGTTCTCCTCTCTTCCTCGGCCAGAGGTGCGCTTTTGTCTTTGTGTCATCTCCCAAGGTGTAGCACTCACCTTCAGAAGAACGGGCCAAGCTCAACCACATCCACTGTTGCTTATTTCTGCTAATGACACTGCTGTCCCTTTTGCCTGGGTATTTCCTATTTCCTCACCCCTTCTCAATACAGATTGTCCCCAGGTCATGCAATGTCATCTCTTAAACATCCCTTGCATGCATGCCGTGCTCTCCGACTCTTTCATCACCACTCTTATGCACCCTGTCTCACCTGCATGGGGGATGCAAAGTCTTCCTCAATGACTGTAATTTTTTCTTCATCTGCCTGCCCCTACCCTATACCTCTGTCAAAGCTGTCAGAGTGACCTTCCTAAGATACAACTCTGAGGGTATTTCCCCCTGCTGCCCATCTGATGGCTTCCTTTTGCTCTCAGGAGGAAGGACAAGGCTCTAACCTGGCCCAGTGTCCTCCAGAGTTTGCTCCACCTGCCTCTCCATGCTCAGCATCCAATGGGCCATGATCCTCCCTGTCCCAGGGGCTTTGCACAAACTATATTCTTTGCCAAGAAAGTTTTCACTGTTTCTCTTGTTGTTCCCCAATGCACATTCTACTCATCCTTCAGATTCTTGTTCATAGGCCACTTTTTCGTAGGATTCTTCTCTTCTCCAGATTAGTTCAGCTTCTCCTTCAAGCTTGTCTCACATTAGCCTGTATTTTCCTTCCTAGCATTTTCTCAGCTTGTGATTATCTACTCACCCATGTGGCTGCTGTCTGCCTCCCTCCCAGGCTGTATGGGCTGAGAACACAAGGGCATGTTTGCTTGACTCACCATTTATCCCAGCCTCTGGCACTCCCTAGCACGTGGTAGGAGCTAAGTGAAGATGTTATTGAATGAATTTATGAGATGATGGTTTTCCTGTGTTCTACTTGTGTTCCTGCATAGCTAACAGGTGTCTCTAGTCACCTCCATCCATTTTCAAGCTTCCATACCAGCACACGTGTGCCTCCACACTCCCACCCTTTCTGCGTAGCCATTGCTCGCAATGCATTTGATTGATGTTTCCTACTTTTCACTAGACTCTGACCATGGGGCAACCCATCGAGTTGCCCAGGGTGGTGGGAAGGAATGCACAGGAAACGAGGCTGGGAATTTGCTTGGAATTTTAAGTGTTTTGTCCTAGAGTTTTCATAGTCTTGGATGGCCTTCAATATGGGAATAATATAACACCAGGACTCCCAGGGCACTCAGACGTCCACATGAAGCTGTACTCCAGAGCTCAAAGCTCCGGCTCTGGCTGAGTCCCAGCATGCCTGGGGTGGCAGAGGAAGGAGCCTGGGGCTTGGGTTGGGTTTGCTGTGGGAGGCCAACCATCACTGAAGTGGCAGAGCTGGGGCCAAGCTCCCAGCTTTGAAGTCAGATGCCTTTTTCAACCATGGGTGAACTCACCTCCCCTGCATGCCTTAAGCCGCTTCTCCCTTTATGGCATGTAAACAGAGGTAGCAGTGAGGAATAGGCCATATACCCCTGGGATAACAGGCATGAAATGTTCAGGGAGCTTCTGAATGTAGTTGGAAGAAAAGAGCTTATAAGCAAGGTGGAGGCAAAGGCACCAGGCAAGAGAGAGACAGAATGGCCCCAGGCATAGAACCCACCAAGGAAGAAGACCCAAGTGTCCTGAGCTCTGTGCCACCTGTCATTCTGTGAACATGCTGTTTCCAGAGCCTTGGAAGGCAAGGCACAAGGGTCCAGCTGTTTGCAGTCTCCCCCAGCTGTGCCTTGGAGAGTACTCAGCTTCCAGTGAGTTCTTAGAGAATGGTTTTGGCAGAGCCAACTTGGGCTATGACATTGAACAACCCTTTTTCATCCTGGGCTTCAGTTCCCCATCCCCAGGATAAAAGGGTGAGGCTCAGCAATTGCATCTTATGTCTTTCCAGAGCTGAATTGCTAGGAGAAGAGAGGGCTCCTGGGATCCTCTCCTTCCTCTGTTGTTCACTGGACAGGAAGCCAAATCATTTCTCTTCAGTGGTCACATGAAGGCCAGGGGAGTGCCCAGGGACACAGGTGTCACAGACCAAGTTTAAAATCCTGCTGTACTCCTTCCGAGCCACATGATCTTGAGCAAGTTGCTTTACCTCTTTCAACCACAGTTTCTGTTTTCAAAATAAGAAAGATGACATCTTTACCGTAAGGTTATTTGGGTGTTCCTCAAAGTAATGCATATCACATAATAGACCAAACTCAGGGACATTCACAGCGGGTGCTTCCCCTTCTGCATGGCAGGGGAAGGTGCCCTTTCCATAGACTTGAGGCTTCTGTAGAGTTTGTGATTACTCTAGGTGAAGGTGGGTGCCCTCCACCTTCACCCAGCTAGCAAGAGTTTTATCACAAGCACACAGACCTCTGAAGAAGAAATCCCATGTGCAGGTGCTGCCCACAGGTGGTATGAAGAATCACTTAGGATTGGGCTGTGAGTGAAGAACCAGGCTGTCTTCCAGCTCAAGTGCCCCAATCCCATGTCCATTGCTGAGGGGGTCTGTTCCATGGACCCAAGGGACCTCAGCCCCTGAAGCATGAAGCCTTTTTTGAACCCCACCTACAAAGCATATAGGTTCAAACATAAAGGGAAGAACTGAGAGAGAGATCATGTTCCACACATTTGCCAACAAGCCTGGAAATGAACATTCGCACACCAGAATTAAAGCCTGGAAAGTTAATTAGAACTTTACCCCGGCAAGTGTGTTGCTCTGTTTGTCTGACACTTTAAAAGAGAAGGAATACTTCTAAGATCTGCAACTGGATTGGTCTTGGATTGGCGAAGGGACCTGGAGCTAGTCACTGAGCTCTGTTGACCATTGTTTTTACTCCACAGAATGGGCATCATCCTGACTCTCTAGTGATCTCCTGGGGCCATTTTAAGAACCAAGTGGAGTCATGGCAGCTCACCTCAGAACAGGTGGAATTGAACAGGTGGAATTCGCTGTGATGAGATAATTTGGAGGAGCAACCAGGAGGCTCAGGTTCTGAGGGGCAGACTTGGAACCAGACCTTGGATGACAAGATCTGGATTTGAATCTCCCGGCTGTTCCTTCCTGGGGGTGCAATTCTGGATCATGTATCAACCTCCAAAAGTTTCCGTTTCCTTAATTGGAAAAGAGCAAAAAGGGGATGATAATGTCCACCTAAGAGAAGTGTCACAAGCCTTAACTCCAGTCCAGCCAGTGAAAATGCTTCACTTAGCAGCTGGTCGTAGGTGTTTGGGACATGTTACCTGGATGACTGGTTGGGTGTCAGGAGGTAGGCAGGCAGGCACACCAGCACATCCACAAGGTGCCGGAGGGAGCAGGGCAGGGGAATAATGGGGATGCCAGCCAGAACCACACGACTACGCTGTCTTTGTTTCTCTTCTCTGTGGAGGTGTGTCCTTCACCAACACAGCTGCCAGGACCATCGCGCAGGGAGCGTGCCTGCTTTGTTAAACAGACCAACTCTCTGCACTTCAGGCCAGGCATGATTTAATGAAACCCTGTTTACCTCTGGCTAGAGCTGCAGTTTTCAAGATTTTCTTGAAAACACACCCCAGATAGCCCTGGGTGTCTCACTTCCTGTACAGCAGGCATACATGCCTGGTCCTCTTGGGCAGCTGGTCCCCATTCCAGGGACACAGTGGCCTAACTGAACACAGAGCTCAGGACTCTGGGCCTGTTCCCCCCATGCTTCCCACCCCTTGGCAATGCCATCAGCCACTGATCCTGCAGTGCCCGGGGGGTGGGTCATGGAGTCCAGAGGGAGGCCAGGCAAGGTGGCAGTCCGTGTTTGTAGGGAGGCCGTCTGCATGGAGCTCCTCCGCAGACCTTCCACAGGCAGGAGAGGGTATGTAAAGTGCCCTGTGGGCCCAGAGTGTTTCACAGGTGAGGCTAGCAGACTGCCTGTGGACCACTGTCCCAAACAAATGGAGCTTCCATGTGCTGAGCCTTGCCCCTGACACCTGGGTGCCCCAACAGCTCTCTTGTCTTCATCTCTGTGTCCTCTGCTCACCTCACTTTGGGCACTCAGGATAGTCTGCCTCAGTGCCCAGATGTGTTTAATGCAGCAGGATTTCTTGGCAATCACCCTCTGATTTTACAAACAGGCAATGTGAAGCACAGAGAAGACAGCTATGGCCCATGACCATCCAGCCAGCCAGAGAGGGAAACAGAGAACACAGGGTACAAAAACAACAACATAGGACTCTAAAATCAGGGATCTGTCCACTCCAGCAAGAATCTTTCCAGGCAATCAAAGGGGATAACACAGTTCCTAATTTTAGAGGTGGGGAAACTGAGACTCAGTGATGAGAAAGGACCTGCCTGAGCCCATCAGGGGAAGAGTGAAGTCAGAACACAGAGTTTTCCCGAGCCCAGACTGCATTTTCCTGTCCAAAATAAGTGGAGGCAAATGTGGCAGTGGATGGGGCTTGGAGGTTGGGGTAAGATGGCCTTTTCTGCACCTGTCAACTGAGTTTCAAAGCCAAAGTGTTAGTGCTCATCACCCACCCTCCCCACTTTAGCCCCTTTGGGATGCTATAACAAAATGCCATGGACTGAGTAATTTATAAACAACAGTGATTTGTTGCTTACAGTTGTGGAGACTGAAGAGTCCCAGATTAAGATGACAGCAGATCCAGTATCTGGCGAAGGCCCGCTTTCCAGTTCATAGACGTCATCTCCTGTGTGTCCTCACGTGGTGAAAGAGGCAAACAAGATACCTTATAAGGGCACTAATCTTATTCATTAGAGCAGAGCCCTCATGAACTAATTGCCTCCAAAGGCCTACCTCTTAATACTATTGCATTAGGAAATAGTAATCAACATATGAATTTTGTGGGGGGGGGGGGGGGACACCAGCACAGCAGGAACAATAAGATGAGCCCCCTGCCAGGAGATCTCCACCTGTGTGGAAAGTACTGGCCTGGTTCCAGAGCTGCCTCAAAGAGAACTAAGCCCAGCCCCTGCTGGAGGCTCCTCAAGCCCCTCAGCTGACCTGCTGACCTGTTCTCATGTGTGCAAAGATAACAGAGGTTAGACGCGATGGAGGAAGTGGCTCCCATGGAGGTGGTCCTGGGGAAGGGCCATTCACCCTTGATATCATCATACCCTTTATTCCATAAATGGAACTTGAAACTCCAAGGCAGATAGTTTCCTGCTAATAGAACCTTGATTCTGTTCAGGTGCCATCATATGTCCAACTATATACCCACTCATCATCCTCTTGTGCTGTAGCTAGGGGTGGTCATGTGATCAGTCTCTGGCTAATGAGCTGGAAATAGTCTTCTGGAAGTCTTTGGAAAGCCTTTTGCTTTTATGATAAATGAAGAGAAGTGGCAGCTCACTTCACTCGCTTCCATTCAGCCTTGCCTGCAGACATGATGTCTGGAGTTACAGTAGCCATCCTGAGATCAAGGGGCAACCAAGTCTTCGTCAAAGATCAACCGAGAAACCCACAGAGTGTTGGCACTGTTAAAGCACTGACACCTCAGCATTCACTTTTCTCCAGATAGCTTGGCATGTGAGAAAAAGAAATCCTTTTTGATGAAACAACTAAAATTAGGCTTTCCATTATTTGCAACCTAAAGCATTCCTAACTGATCTATATCCAGAGATAACGAATCAATTGCTAGGGAGAGGAAAGAACTCAGGGCATCACCCCTTAACTAACTCACCCCTTAACAAATAGTGTGCTCTACCTGAGTCCCTGCATGGATGTTTTGCTCAGAATGCCCTTCTCCGACTTCTGCCCTGAGCATTCTCCTCCTCCCTCAAAGCCACTTCAGGCACCACCTCCTCTCTGTGGCTTTCTTTGACCACTCCTCATTCCCTGCCCTAGGATGTGATCATCAATTGGTATCACTATAGCACTTTATGTACACCCCATTTAAAGCCCTTTTGGGGTTTGGGACTGCTAATTAATCATAAACATCTTTTCTCCCAGTTTCAGCCAGTTGAGACTTAGACATTGTAGTCAGATGGCAACCACGTTCCAGCCTTAACACTAACAAAGCTGGACTGGAGGACATGATGTGGCTACGAGGCTTCCTAGTACTTCCTTCCAGGTCTGGGCCTCGGAATCCATAGAGGGAGAGCAGTCTCATGATCAACCGTCCCGTGAACCCCTCTGCCTCCTGCCTATCAAAGACAAGGATGCCTCTAAATCACAGGCCATTGGGAAACTTAGTACAGGAAAAATGGCTTGCCCACCAGCACTTCACTTGGCATCCTGACCTGCATTCCCCTGAAAGCTGAGCCCTCCACAAAGGCTTGTGTGCAGGGAGTATATTGAGAAATGCGCAGGAGTGACAGGCAGGGAGTAAACCAGGGAAGGAGGGAAAACCTGAGTTGGCCACCTCTATAGGTGACTGGAAGCATAACGAACTGGTCCTCAGGACTGTCTACCTGGGACAAACTGGCGACACATTTATCCATCAGCTCCCACCCTCCATCAGTCAAAACTGGCTCCAAACTGCTGACACCTCTGGCTGAGGATGTGTAAGTAAAGAGAGATGCCAAGGGCTTGCCATACCAGGGAGGACGAGAGAGTTGAACAGGGCAAGCCTGTGGGGGAGGCACCAGGCCACCCCTGCCCCATGTGGTCAGAGACTGCATGGAATGGATGACCCGGGCTGTGCCTGGAGTAAGAGCAGGTGCAGAGGATCTGCCGTCATGCTCAAGAGGGCCTGATGCACTCGGTTAGCCAACAATCACGTGCTTAGCATTTACCCTTCATTTATTGATTCAACACATGCTTATTATGCTTATTAAGGGTCTACTACAGGTCAGATAGTGCTAGCCCTTGGGAATGAATATGAATGAGAGAGTTTCTGCCCCTTGGGAAACTTGGAATCCTGCAGGATATATACTTTAAACAGATAATTATAAACACGAGTTCAAAAGTACATCAAAAGAGAACTTCCTTGTGCTATAAAATATGACAGGGGCCTAAGCTATTCATTTTTTTTCATTTGTGTGTTTATTTATTCAGCACATGTTTATTGAGGTCCAGCAGCACACAGGTTCTGTTTTAGCCCTACGGATATGGCAGAGAACAAGTCCCCACCCTCCAGTGGGGTAGAAAGCTAGTAAACAAATGCATCTGTATTATTTGATGAAATAGTGCACATAAGGCAGGATGCATGAAAAAAGGATGAATGGAGGACTTCTTTAGATAGGGTAAGTGGTGGTATCTCCCAGGAGGAGAGCACACCTCATTCATCTTTGCATCCCCAGGCCCATGATTCACTGGCAGGGTCACCAAGGATAAGCTAGTCACAGTCAGAACTTTTGTTTCTTCATTTCACTCCTGCATGCATTCATTCATATATCATCATGCATTCAACATTGCTTGCTTGCTTACTAGGTGCCTAGTAGATGCGATACAGCAGTGAACAAAAGAAACAAAAAATTTCTGATCTCATGAAGCTTAAATTCTATTTGGGGTGGGCGAGGAAAAAAAAACAAGAAAAATACATCTTACACACTCTGCACATGTACCCCAGAACTAAAAATTTTTTAAAAAAATAATAAAAATACATTTTAGTCAAGTGGTGATGATATGGAAAACAGTGAAGCAGAAGGAGTGGAGGGGAACCATTGGGGGGAGTGGGAGAGGCTGACGTTTCAAACATACTGGCTGGGGACATTCTGGGGAGGTGGCGATGTGGGCAAGACAAGAATGAGGCCAGGGAGTGGTCACAGGCTGGCTCAAGGAAGAGCAGTTGAGGCTGTGATAGTTAATTTTAGGTGTCAACTTGACTGGGCTAAGACAGATAGCTGATAAAACGTGATTTCTGGGTGCGTCTGTGAGGATGTTTCCAGAAAAAATTAGCATATCAATCAATAGAGTGAGTAAAGAAGACCTGCCCTCACCAATGTGGGCATCATCCTGTTGCTGGCCTAAATAGCACAAAAAGGCGGAAGAGGCCAGGTGCAGTGGCTCACTCCTGTAATCCCAGGACTTTGGAAGGCCCAGATGGGGGGATCACTTGAGGCCAGCTTGGGCAACATAGCAAGATCTTGCCTCTACCAAAAAAAAAAAAAAAAAAAAAAAAAAAAAAGCCCAGGCATGGTGGCATGTGCCTGGAGTTCCAGCTACTTGGGTGGCTGAGGTAGGATCTCAGGCTTTTGAGGCTGCAGTGAGCCATGATCACGTCACTGCACTTCAGCCTGGGGAACATAGCAAGACCTCGACTCTTTAATAAAAAAAGGTGGAGGAAGGATAAATTCCTTCTCATTTCTTGAGCTGGGTCACCCATCTGTCCTTGGACATCGAAGCTCCAGGTTCTGAGGTCTTCAGATTCTAGGATTTACACCAACCTCCCCCTCCACCCTTCTGCAGCTTGCAGATGGCAGGCTGGGGACTTCTCTCAGCCTCCATAATTATGTGAGCCAATTCCCATAACAAATCTCCTCTTATCTATCTAAATATATCCTATTGGTTCTGTTTCTCCAAAGAACTTTAATACAGAGATGGAGGGAAAAGTGAAACAGGTAAAAATGCCACTCAGAAATACTGCATTATAGGGTGCTTGCAAGAATTCAACAAGAGATTGGATCTGTAAAAACATGGTTCATAGTAGGTGTTCAATAAATGTCACATTCCTTTCCACTTTTCTTCTCAAATTTGTTAGCAAAATGGAGCTTTATTTAAAGTCTCTTTTTGTAAAAAAAAATAAAAAAAATACAAGCTGTTTTCCAAGACAGTTAAAGGAAATGTAATCAATTGCACAGTGTCAAGTGACAGATGGAAAAGGAAACGAGGAAAGAACATAGATTGGAAAGGCTCACGGGAAAATGTCACCACTGAAAGGAAGTGAAGCAATTACCTTCTCCAAAGCTTCTGGTCAGCAACAAGGAAACTGAGGTCCGGGGGAATGAAAAGGACTTGGCCAAGGTCAGCCCAAGAATAAGCATTATAGGAAACTGTCTCCTGTTGGCCGAAAGGAGCCCAGGGAAAGGGAGATTCCCCATGTTCAGAAGTGGATAGGTCCCTTTATGCCAAAGGGCATGAAGGAGCACCAGACAGATGTGTTCTGGAGTGAGATGGATCTTGAGATTGGATCCTGGGAACATCAAGTGTTTATGAGGATGTGGAGTAACTGGGACTATCATATACTCCTTGTGGGGGCATAAAATGGTGCAACCAGTTTGGAAACAAGTCTAGCAGTTTCTTATAAAAGGAAACATACACCCATTCAATGACCCAGGCATTCCACTCTCAGGTATTTATCCAAGAGAAATAAAAACATGTCCACACACTATTTATAGTAAGATGTTTGAAGCAGCTTTATTCATAATCACCCCAAAATGGAAACCACACAAATGTCCACAAACAGAAAAGAAGTTGTGGTACATTCATACAATGGAATAATAGTCAACAATAAAAAGGGACAATCCATGGATACATGCAAAATATGGACGAATAAACACACACACACACACACACACACACACACACACACACACCAAACCAAACCATCACTTGAGCAAAAGAAGCCAAAAGTAAGAGATGAAAGCAGTACAATTTGGGAAGTAAAGGTGAGCTAGGAATTCTAATAGATACTTATCAAGGTTTCTGGCTGCCTCGAACCCTTTAAACACCCCTGTGATGTCTTGTAAGTACATTGCTTTATGAGTTCTGTCTTCCTGCAGCAGAAGTCAGAACATTTACTTACCCAGCCTCCTTTGCAGCATGGCACAAATATATGCTCAATCACAAAGTGTCGGGTAACCTGTACATGTAAAATTAGATGTACCTGCCAGAGAGTTTAATTCAGAGCTGAATAACTGGAAGAAAGAACTCAGCACTGAATCTGGATTTGCTGGTGAGGTTGGAGATTAAGAGGTCTCACTTAGTCGGTTTAGTAGCAGTAGTGATGCACAGTCGTGGTTGGATGCAGAAGTGGCATGGAGCTGACAGCAACTGTGATAGTGAGAAATCTGAAATTCTGTTATATTAGTATGTGGTGATGACAGGGACATTGGTGGCCTGGAAGGTCCCTCCTCAGAACATTTCTGGGGCGAAGTTTCAGGCAGTACTTTTGGAAACTTCACCTGAAGACAGGTCCTCTGGTCCTGGCAATAAGTTCATTAGATACCCAATATCCTTACCATGTCCCAAAGCAAACTCTTCATATCAGCCACCAACCTCTGTCTCATCTGTCTCTACCACAATCTGCCATACCTGCATTATTCTTCATTTCACCAAATGGCAACTCTGTTATTCCACTTGCTCAAAAACCTGACTCCTTGTTTTCTCTCCTAACATTCAACATAGCAAACACCCTGTTGGCTCAACCTTTAAAATATACCCAGCCTCCAGCCTGTTCATCTTCTTCATTGCCTCCACCCTGCTAGAAACCATCATTTCATATCTGGATTTACAAAGCAAATTGGCAAATTAACTTTTCTGCCTGTTTCCTTCTTTGTTCACTGCAATCTAGTTTCACAACTGCAGCCAGGGTGGTCCTTCTAAAAACATTTATCTAATCTTATCACCCCTCCCCTGGAAAGGGTTAGATGACTCTCCATTTCATTCAGAGTAAACACAAAAATTTATACAATGATCCACATTAATGTAAACCCTCTAAATATATGATTAGGCTACGGAATATAACAGTATATTTTTAAAAATACATCGTGACTAAGTAGGATTTGTCCCAGAAATGCAAAGGATATCTATTCATGTGATTCACCATATTAATGATAGAAATGGGAAAAACCATCATATCAGTCAATGCGGAAATAGCATAAAGTTTAATATGAAATTCTAATATTTAAAAAAGTTTTTACAGAAATAAATAGATGATAGCATCCTTAATTCAACAAAGGTTACATGCTAAACATGTAGAGAAAACATCATACTTAAGAGAAATTTCCTTTTAGGTCATGAAAATAACAAGCAGAACTGTTGTCACAACTACTGTGCCATGTAATTCTAGAGGTTCTTGTTAACAAAGAAAGAAATAATGGTAGAGTGAAAAGAAAGAGAAATTTCCCCATCATTAATAGACGATATGATCATTTACATACAAAAATCAAAACAGCAACATACAAGATGAATATGTGAGAAGTAATAATGTTCTTCTATACCTCCATTAACAACAAGAAATGGCAATAAAAAATAAGATACGATTTACAATAGCAACAGACTCTCCAAAGTAGCAATTGACTTATTAAGGAATGTACAAAACATTTATGGAAGAAAATTTAAACCTAAGGAAGTGAGATAAAATCCATATTCATGAATAGAGAGCATTAGAAAGATGCCATTTTTCCTATATTAATCTGCACACTCAAAATAATTCCAATAAAAACTCAGACAAGATTTTACAGAGCTTAACAAACTGATTCCAAAAAAATTTTTTATAAGAGAATGAATGCTAAGAAATAATTAAGCCAACATTGACAGAGAACAAAGTTGGGAGCTTGCCCTATCAGACGATAAGACTTACTACAAAGTAATGGTAATTAAAATAGTTGATACTGGGGTAAAAAAAGAAAGAGAGAGAGAAATATACTAATAAAAAAGTATACAGTCTCAATTATATGAGAACTTGGTATGGTCATGAGCTGTTAAGAGTCTGAACTTGCCACAATTTCATCGTTGTTAGCAGAAGACACAAGACCCTAGGTTCAGAGACAACGGGCAGCTAATTACTCATAGCAATGGCAATAGTCAGAACATCAGCATTTGTGTTGGTTCCTCGCATCCCAGTTCCCACAGGATGACATGAAGAGGTCTGGGTGATGCCTCCACACATAGTGGGTTAATTGTCAGGAGAGAAACACTAAGCTTAAACCCAAACCTTTTGTAATGGGCGGTAAGCTTGCCTGAACTTTGCCCCAGAGGGAGAAGTTATTTTATTATACTTGGTAGTAAACAAACCTGCCCTTTGTTCTGCATGGAGACAGTATCTCTATTTCCAAGGGTGTTTGCTATACAAACATCCTTGAAAAGATAGTTGCAAACAGTCTGTCACAGTCTCTGCTTATAAGGTATGCAGAAATGCAAGATACACATGAAGAATTGGCTCCCAACAGGTATATGGTAGAGCTAGCATCACAAATCATTGGAGAAAGAATAAATTAGCTAGTAAAGTATGTTAGGAATAGTAGCTTAGTAACTTCCTATGCAGAGAAAAATAAAGTTGAGTCCTTATCTCATTCCTTCTATAAAAATAAATGCCAAGTGGTTTAAAGATCTAGTTGTCAAAATTAAGACTAAAACTAATAGAAAAAATATGTAGGGTTTTTTTTAACTTTGGAGTCCTGAATTTTTTTAAAATAAGACTCCAAAAACACAAGCCATAGGGGAAAAACAAGTGGATTTACATCAGAATTTAAAGGCAGAATTATGTTCATCAAAGTGCACCATTCAAAACCTTAACAGGTGCATGACAATTTGGAGAAGACTTTGACAAGGCCTAAAACCAGCAAATGATTAATAAGTAGGTTGCTCAAGTAATTCCTGAAAATCAACAAGAAGAAAAAGAAATAGAGAAACATGCAAAGAATATAAATAAGCAATTCATAGGAGAAATCCAAGTGGCTAAGGCAAACTATCAAGAAAGCACAGACATGCAAATTGGGATGTGGAACCACTTTATACCCCATCTGATTGGCAAACATTAGAAAACTGGAAAACATTAACTCTGGGTGAGAATATGAAGAAAATAGGTACCCTTGCACACAGCTGTAGGAATTTTGTTGCAGTTGTTCATGAGAATCATACAGAAATAGTTAGTGAAATAAAGGACCCTGTGGTCCTACAATTCTGGTCCACAATATATCTCTCAGAGAAGATCCAAAGCATCTCTCAGAGAAGGTCCAAAAAGAACTATGCTCTGTGACATCGTGTGACTATCTTTCTTTGTCTGGCCTCTCCTCCCTCTCCTGAGAGACGCAGCTCAAGCGTGATCCTTCAAAAGTCGTCTCCACCCCATGAATTGACTCTGTGCCTGTCCTCCATGCCTCCGTCCCACTCCTGGCTTCAATCTATCTATGCACTCATCACACTGCATGTTTGTGGTTGGTTTAGATGTCATTTGCATTTCCCATTGGTCCAGGAGTACCCTTACAGCACGGACTATATTTTATCATCCTGTGTCTACAACTCCAAGCAGTATACTTGGCACAGAACAGGCCTTCAGCTATGTGGAATCAATAAATTCATCAAACACGGGGCCTGGATCTGGGGCCTGGTATTTGTAAGGTGGAATTTCTTTCTTGTGTGCAGATTCCACCCTTGCTCCAGTTATCTTGGCTGGTCTGATAAGGGCAGGGAAGCCTGCTTTAGTCTTGGGATTCCAGTATATCAGCAGGAATTCCATGCATCCACTCCTGGCATATCCTTTTGCGGTGAGTCTGCTAATAGCCTGTGTCATTTTGAAGGAGAAGACGTCTGCCAGGCCATGATGTGATATGTACTCAGTGCAGCTGGTGTTTGTCAGCCACAGGCCCCGCCGCTCCACTAAGCTTCCATTCCTCCTGTTCCTCCTGTGTTCAAGAATGTGGAGCCTGGCTCCCTCTGGGCTCCAAAAATGCTTCAGGCTGGGTCCTGTAAAATCTTAACATTTCCTCCCACCCCTATTCCCTTAGCATTGCCACCTTTTTCATAAAATAATTTATACAACTGGAAAGGAAGAAAAAAATCCAGTGCAAAAATACCATACGTAGAACAACATTATGAAATCTCCTTAATGTCCTGAAAGCTGCACCAGGCCATTTGGAAGATGCATTAGCTAGATAAGTATTAACAGAAGGGCCTATCACAGAAACGTTACCCAAACTACCACCTTTTATTAAGCCCCCAGGAGAACTTAAAACCAGCCCATTACTCTGATGTCTGAGACGGGCCTGGGTTTTTTTTTCCCCCTGTGAAACCAAGCTTAAGTATTTCAGAAAAATGACATGGATTAATCATAGGTACCACTGAGGGCCATCATCTTCATGTCAGAACTTGGGGTGGAGGGAAGCTTGACTTTCAGATAACACTCAGAGTTGGGCCAAGTGTCAGTCTCCTGTACACTTCTAGAGAGCTGAAAGGCCAAGGAGAGAGAAAGTTTAATACTACTTTCTGGATTTATTGCCTACTTCTTTAGCCTTTCTTCAAAAACCAAGGCACTCAGGAGACATTAAGATCTGAGTTCTGCCTCTGCTCGTAGCTTGCTGTGTGACCTAAGACAGTTACTTAAGCTTTCTGGCTCTGACTTGTAATGTGCAAAAAGGGAAGAATACCAAAGTCACTAAGTGACCTCTCAGAAGAGGTAGCCCAGGTCATGAGAGTGTGGGCTCCAGAGGAGGCCAGCTGCCAGCCTCACAGCTCTCTCAAGTTCCTAGATGAATAGTTTGCAGGTAGTTACACAAACTGTCAAAGTCTCAGTTTTCTTCACTGTAAAATGGGGTTTACAGAACCAATCTCCTGAATTGTAATAATGAAATAAGACTTCATACGGAAAGCAGTTACAACAGTTTCTGGAGCATAATAAGTGCTCAGTAAGTATTTGTAGTTATTATTGTTGTCACTTAGGTTCTATTTTAGGTAGCTTTAAAAATAGTTCCCAATGATCCTGGCCTCCTACCATTTGTACCCTTGTATACTGCTTCTTCTTGAGGGTGGGCTGAACCTAGTGGCTTACTTCAGATGAATGGAATACAGTAGATGTAAAGAGATGTCACATCCAAAACTAGGCTATAAAAATTCTCTGCATTTTATCTTGTGTATATTCTCTTGCTCTATCATTTGTTTGCTCTGAAGGAAGCCAGCTTCCATGTTGTAGGCCTTCCTGTGGAGAGATCCATGCAGTGAGAAACTAAGAAAAACCTCCAGGCAACAGCCAGTTAGAGACTGAGCCCTTCAGTCCAATAGCCCACGTGGAAATGGCCCCTCCAACAAACACTTGAGTGCACTAAGGAGACGATCCTCTTTGGTTGAGTCTTCAGATGAGACTACAGCCCCAGGCTCCACATCAAGTGCAGGCTGTGGGAGACCCTGAGCCAGAGGACCCCACTAAGCCAGGCCTGGATTCCTGAGTCACAGAAACTGTGAGATAATACATATTTGAAGAAATTTGTCACACAGCATTAAGTAAATATTGTAGGCTTCTTCCAGGTCCAATATACTGTTTTCCCAAGGTGATTCCAAACTCATACTATTTCTAAGACACATAGTGATGCCCAGTGAGAACTGTGGTCTGTGAAAAGAATTTATTGCAATCCCATCACACATAAAGTACTGCAGGTTCTCTAGATGAGACACAAAGACATCAACACATTTCTTCATGTTTGTATCTGTACGGTGGAAATACTGTATAACTCCATTTTCACATTGATAGCTAGAAATTAGCTACAGTTGGGGTACAATGCCATGGAAATCAGCAAATGCTTCAAATCAAGGTTTGTTTTTTTCTTAAGAGCAATGTTAAACATTTGCTAGCGTATAACTGAAGTTAATCCTTAGAAGTCGTTATTCTAAGAACTCCAGGAAAACTCAAAAGAAAAAAGATCTTTTCTACCTGGGAAAGACAAAAGGATTGAGACATAAGCTGCTGGCTGTGAGGTCAAAGTCCTCCTAGGTCTATATTCCCCATGCTATTAAATTTGCAGAACTCAGATGCAACTAAGAACCTTGTCTTTGGAATATGATAGTTTCCTCACCTGCGAAACAAGACTGTTGCACACTTCTGGGGAGTCACTGTAAAGATAAAATGTATGTACAAGTGCCTAGCACTGTGCCTGGCACATAGAAAGTATTCGGCACACATTTTAAAACTTCTTCCCGTCTCCTCCTACTGGGAGAGAGTACTAGGTTTGGGGTGATGGAATGGGAAGAGGGTGCAAAGCCCACATCCAGCCAATGAATGCCAACATAATGATCTGCATCTTGCATGGTCCTTTCTGAGAAAATGAGTCTTCTATGCTGATGTAGGAGGCCCTGTAGAATGAGACTGGAGAAGCATTCATTGAGCTGTGAGGCCCTTGCATGTGTGAGACATCACCAGCCTCACTTTGATGGACATTCTCACTGTCAAGGTGACAAGAACACGAGCAGCTTCATTTTTGAGTGTACCAGATACTCAAACCTTGCCAGATGAAGAGGGCGAAAGCAAGACTTCATCTGCTTTGCCCGTTGCTATATCCCTAGGGTCTATCCCAATGTCTGGAACACAGTAAGTGCTCGATAAATAGTTTTGGGAGTTAATGAAAGGGTTGAAGACTAAGCTGGAGGAGATCTTAGGCAATGTGATATCCCAACAACTCCTATGTGCCCTTTTTAGAGATGAGAAGACTGAGTCTTTCCATCACTCATTGGGAGCCAGTCTCCCCACATCATAGTTTGCTCCAGTCTCAGAGGGGAAGGCTGCAGGATCTGGGCCTTCTCTTAGCTCTCAGCTTCTGCTCAAATTTCAGAAGACTTCAGAATAATGAGGTATGTTTCAAACTCAGCAGGGAGGAGAGAACTTTCAGGCCAGTTTTACAATTTTTGATTTTAGTTTTATTTTTTAACACTAAGGAAGCACCATGGTGGTTGCAGGAATGACTCTCCTACTAAAAGGGGTTGGGAGAGAAATGGGAGAGTGGGGTGAGGAATCTTACAAAGTTGAAAACCTGCTGGTTCTTGTTAAAAGAACAGAACAATGTTCTCCCCTCCCCCAGTGCTCAGAGGGTTTGACCCTCCTCTTCCAGAACCCCTGGTTTTATTTTATAATCTAACTCGGCTGCAAACTCCCTAGCTACGCAGCTGACTTTTTACAGCCTGGACTGGGGAATGACTTCATCTCGGTGAATTTATGGGTCACAGCAGAGGATGGAGCAGGGGAACTTGAAGGGGGAAATCACAGCCAATCCTGCCCCCACCGTACATGATGATTTTCCCAGCCGTAGCCTTGCAGAGCCCGTTCTTGCCCTGTGAGCAGGGGTGCTGGGCCAGGATCCCCTGCTGCTGCCTGACATGTTCTGTGAACTTTCAGCAGAACAGGATGCCTGGCAGGCACTGGGACTGGCTGAACACGTCCAATAAACCAGGGAGGGTGAGCACAGGGGCCCCTGTGAGACCTTCCCAACTCTGAGGGACTGGGGCTGGCTGAGGTTAGGGTGATGGTTCTTAAAGATGGCGGTTGCTTTAGACACTCGTTGCTGGCACTGTCTGTCCTTGGGCAGAGACCCTCACTGTGGAAAACCCAGCGCTGTGACTCTGCAGGTCCTGACTTTGCTATCTCCCAAAGGGTGATGCCAATGCCTCAGCTTGGAGACATTCCAGGAGCTGGTCCACCTCCCTGCCTTACAAACGGGGCTCCTAGAACATGCTCTTGCATTCCTGCCTCTGTGTCTTTCTCCTGGCTATCTCTTGTGCCTGAAACACCCTTCTTCTTGGCTAACAACATATCCTGGAAGTCTGACCACTTATCATTCAGGGTTGTGAAGCCTACCTTTGAATAGCTGCAGGAGGGGCAGCTCTGTGTGTGTGTGTGTGTGTATGTATGTGTGTGTGTACGTGAGTGTGTATGTGTGTGTGTTGACCTCTGGCACAACAGCAAGGCTCTGTATCTATTTCACCTTGATTTCTTCTCCTTTCTGTCCCCAGTATCTGGCACAGAGTTGGTGCTCAGGAAGGATCATCCATGAACCTGTAAAACAATAGCCAACCCAGAAACCCAAATATTTGGCAAAACAAAAGGCTCTTCCTCTCTACACAGCTGATATGTGTCCCTGGCAGGGCAGAGGCTAGGGTGAGATAAATGATGAGCCTAGGGCATGAACTTTAGGAGGCAGTCACCCTGCTGCAAATGCAGGGTTGGCACCTGAGAATGAGCACTTCCTTATATGTTGTGTCTCTCTCACCTCACACTAGTCCTGGCCTAGCTCCTGGAGTGTTGTCTAAAACAAAACTTGAACCACACACATTTAGCCTATGAACTTTAACTGTCTCAGAGGTGATATTGGACTGTGGACAGAGTTTGGACTCAAGAAGACCAAGCTCAATGTTCTGCCACCTATGAACTCTGGGATTTGGACACCTTGCTCAATCCTTCTAAGTTTTATTTTCTTGTCCTTTCTGTCCCTTGGGATAGAAACACACCCCTCTCATCTCATCAAGAGCCGGCAAGTGAACAAATCTGGCACTGAGTCTGGCAGGTGGGGCAGGTGAGGGGGGACCTGGAAAGATTTTTAAAGCTGAGTGTGGCCCTTCATTTATTCTAATAACTTACTATTGCCCCATGATAGACTTTAGGATACCAAAGTTTCACAAGCCAGACTCTTCATCCTTGAGTACTCACAGACAAGGAGGTGAGGTAGACAGGTGGACCTTTGACTCTCACCCTACATGGTAGCGGCATTAATGTGGGTGTACAAGTGGCCAAGAGAGAGTGTGCACTGAAATCTGACTGTACGAGGAAGATCACTGTTACAAGGGGGCTAAATTAAGGCCATTACCCTGCTTCAATGACTGCTGGATGGGCATTGAACTTTAAGAGGAAGGTTTTCTGATGGATGAGGAGAAAAAGAGTGCTCTTGTAGAGGGACCAGCATACGCAAAAGAATGGAAATACAAAAAACATCTGTGATTTTGAGGAACAGTGAGTAGGTTTAGCTAGAAAGTGAAGTATTTGGGGGAGAAGAATGAAGATGAATGCCCAGGCTGGTTCAGGAGTAGCTGAAGATAGAGAATGAACTGCACAACTTTCTTTTTCAAAATTTGCACTCAGGTTGGGTATAAATGTGGGTGGCTGTGCACATGGTATGGAGCTTGTTTGGGACACTAAAGAGTTTGACTGTGTTAAGAATTTGATCTGGCATGATATGGAAAAAGAGCTGTGGATTGTATTTGGGAGTGCTGGAGTTCCTTGGGCTTGTGTGGCTTGGGTATAAGCATGATCAATGAGACTGTTGAGGTCAAGGCCCTCAGGGTCACTCTCAAGCAAATTAGAATAAGACCTGCTTTATGGCCTCTGTCCCTGGAGTTCCAGGCCAGCTTTGTGGCAGAGCCTGGGCCTTCTTCCAGGTGTGGGATTGAGTTGTCAGTAATTCAAGTCCAGAACTCCACTCTGTGCTATGTGCAAGGGCCTCTGAGGGATGTGTGGCTGAAGGTCTGGCTCTGGTGACTTTGCCACAATCCCTCATCCCTCTCCTGCCTCCTACCAGCTTGGTTCTTCCTCACCAGCAATGCCCCAGAGATACCCACTTCCCTGGCAGCCCCTTCTGCCTGTTCCTGTCACCTGCCTGCTCACCCCAGGACCCTGCCACCCATCCTCAATGCTCCTTGAATCTCTTCTCCGCCTTTCTCATCCCTTTGGAATAATCATTTAAAAAAGAAACCATGCTGCTCTCTTTCCTCAGCCCCATTGAGATCTGCGCTCTCTCTGCTCCTGGCATATTTGATCAATCTTCCTCTCCTTCTTGCCGACTGTCAGGGAAATTGGAATCAGACTTAAACCTGTAATGAGATTAATGTTCTAAAGACAAGCATGTACCTTAGAGTGGAATTGGGGCTGCTGCTCTTTGATAATCTATTCAACTCATTTGGTTCCATCGTTAATAGACAGCTGTGTATTCTGTGATGATTACAATATACATTAATCAAAGACAAGTTACGCTGAGAGTTGAAAATTACACTTCCCTTTTTCCCCTTTGCAGAAAAAAAAAGAAAATATTCCACCACTCAGTGACAAGGAGAAAGGTGCTTAGAGTCGCAGAAAACAAGCAATGAGCCTTTCTGAAAGCTCTTTCTGAAAACAATGACAATTTATCCTGAAATGTCACAGTATCATTAAAATTGTCAAAACAAGAATGAGGATCAGGGAACTGGGTTGGAAAAAGAGTGTCCATAACTTGCATAAGATTCTCTGAGGAGACTTTATCCTCCCAAAAAACTTTCAGAAGTTTCTAGATCAATGATCTTCCAGGTTCCTCTTGGTGTTAACCAGGTGTAATCTTACATTTAACCAGCACTGGAGGATCTTCAAAGTCACAAAACCAACAAAGGCCACTGGACACTTCTCCACTTAGTATTCAAATGAAATTCACCAAGTATTGTTTCTTTTTGCATCCCTGCACAGGACTGGGGCCACTTATAATGACACATAAATGTGCATTAGGAGAAAAGGAGTGAGACTAGTGGGAAGAAGGCCTTCTGGGCTTGGGCTCAGATCGCTTGATTTTTGGGGGCTAGGTTGGCCTTAAAGGCACAGAATTGCTTCACCTTTCTGAACGTCGACATTGCTATCTCAGCAATGGGAAGAGCAATATTTACCAAACAAAGGCAAATCAGGGACTATAGTCAGCAGTGGGGGTAAAATGCTCCATAGAGTGAATTACATCATACAAACACACAATATTGCCCCAACAAAGCAGCTGGCAAGGTGAGGATGGAAGTGTGAGTTCCACATCTAAGTGCAGAGCCTGGGGCCAAGGGCTTTGAATGTTGACTTTGCCACTTGCTAGCACTGTGAACTTTAGAAGCTTAACTTTTTTCTTCCTCGGTTTCTTCATATTTAGACTATGGTCATAATAGTACTTACCTCTTAAGGTCATTGTGTCTCAGGGACACTAGATTAATTCATATATGTAAACAGTTAGATCATGCCTGGACACAGTGGACACTGGGTGTTGGTGATCACCACTATTCACAATCTGCAGTGGAATAGAAAACTACATGCACAAAAACCGGGGGCTAAACATCATGTGTTACAGCAGGGACCACCTCTATTTTGTTCAATCCTCTCTCCCCTGTGCTTATCTGATGTTAGAACACAGGAGATCAGCAAAAATCCTGAATAAATGCACATCAAATGTAACCATTGACTAAGTGAACATCAAATATAACTCAGAACTTCACAGCAGCCCAGCAGCCAGAGAAAGGAGGCAAACATCTTGAGTCGTACAGTTCTCAACAGTTGATAAAAAGAAAGACATACATCCCATCATCAAAAGGTACAAAGTTTTTCCTAGTGCCAATTTATAAAAAGAATGTATCACTTGGGTCCCAGGTTG
Organism: Homo sapiens; assembly: GCF_000001405.40. NCBI lineage: Eukaryota > Metazoa > Chordata > Mammalia > Primates > Hominidae > Homo > Homo sapiens. Next base: position 78,580,730 of record NC_000010.11, on the reverse strand, counting down.
GTGCCAAATACTCTAATGGATCTAATGGATCATGTCTTCAATAGGAGTTAACTAGAAGATCCAGAAATTTCTTCATCTGACTTTGGGTAACAGCTGGACCATAATATTAACAAACATCTCAGAGCAGGACCTAAATAAATAAGGTCAGGACGGGTGGCTTCTTTGGTCACTTTCATAATATAAGGACCAAACTCATCCATCCTTAGAGTGGAGGTTCTTAACCCATTTTAGAGTCAGAGACCTCTTTAGAGAATCTGATTTAAAAATGAATAAATAAATAAATAAAAACCAATAACTAAAGCCTCTCTCCTAAGAAAAACATACCTGCTCTCAACATTTTGCATACAGCTATAGAGGGGTTCATGGATCCCTAAATCTCATTTATTAATCTATTAACCCGCTAGGCATCTATGAACTGAAAACTAAGAACCACTTAGAGGGGTGGCTGGAGAGATGGCCCTGAGATGCCGTGTGTGGAAACAGCCTTTCAGTGTGCAGTGGTGCAGAAGCGCAGCCATTGTTCTCCACTGTCTCAGCTGGGCTTCCTGCCAGCAGTTGGCTCCAGGCTGAGCTCTCTGGCAAGAGCTTGGAGTATGGATAGCCTCTTTTTCATTGAAGGACAGTCCACATAGTTTGGATCTAAATAGGAAAGTGGTTTAGACAACCGCCCTTTTCACCACCTTCTCAGGGAGTCAGGTCATGGGCCTAACCACCTGATGTCACCAACATCCTTTAGAAGCAGTTTTGGAGGGTTCTCATGAGCTGCAGGTGTGAGGAAGACCCTTCCAGAGCAGGAGTACCTCATCATCATGGGTCTCGGCCATGGAGAGCCATGCCTTAGAGAGACCACGACCTTTCTGGCAGCAATGGCTTCTGGTATCCCTGCCAGAGAACTGGGCAAAGCTGCTTCCAGGTCCCTGGGGAGATTTTCTTGATGAGAGAATTGCTAACTCTCCTCCTGGATGTGGGACCCGCAGCTGCCAAAAACAGACCAGTTTGGATGCGATACAAATTTTCTGCCACTCTTTCTGAGCAAAATTAGACAGTATGAGAATGCTGCTTTTGGTCCTTTCTGTAACACTGGGTGATATTGGCAACAAAGCAGAAAAGTGCCTGCATAACGGCACAAAATGCCTTTCTGGCCTCAGCAACATTCTTCTTCCCTGCCTCAACATATGCTCATCTCGTGCTCCAACTCAGGCACTCCCTACATGTCCATATCATCCCTTGGAATATGAGGCAGCTTCCATTGGTTTTAAGTACATGACATTCCTTTCACCTTTCAATACTCCTCTCAAATACGACCTGCTCTTTGAGCCTTATGGGGTATTCCCACCTAGGAGGCCCACAGCACATCCCATATCTGTTGGCCAAGGGCAACCGTGCTGGTTCATTAGAGCTGGTTCCTCATCCATGTCATGGGGACAAATGATGGCCCATGTAGAAGAGTTGTCACGAGGACTGTGTACCTTAGCATATGTAGAGTGCTTAGAACAAGGCCTGCTGCAGGAAGTCCATGAGTGCCAGCAGCAATGCTAACAATGATTATAGCCAATTAACATCCTGCAAGCACTTTCACGTCCTTTATCTCAGTGAATCATCATCTCAGGTCTCTGAGAATGACATTTGCAAGATGTTGAATCTGAGTCACCTAGAGGGGAACAACTTGTCCACAGATGCAGAGAGGAAGTGACAGGACCAAGGCTCCCCACGCAGCCATCCTCGTGGCTCCTACCAGTCATCACAGCGCCGTGTCTGGAAAAAGTGGGCCTCTGAAGAAGCACTGAATGGAAAGGGGAAAGCTGCCATGAGGGGAAGTTTGCATGTTCAAACTGCCTGCGTTTTACCAGAGGGAGACTTTGTGACAGCCTCTTTAACACCCTTCCTCACCCAAATACATTACAAACAATGTTGCCGCAGCAAATCTCAAATGAGTACATAATGATCAGCACTGACTACAAAGGTGTTACTGGGCCCACCAGCAAGTGACAATGTTATGAAAATCATCCCCTAAGAGAAGATGTCCCCATCCAACTTGAGGGACCAAAGAGTCACAGGGATGGAAGGACTCCAGGAATGTTCTCACAGAAAGGAAAACTCTAAGTCATGCTGGGGATGCTGCTGCTGCCTTGCAGAATGAGTGGGGCCAGAGACTGAAGGACCACTCAGATGTCTGTACCCGTAAACAAATCCTAGTCTCATTTCTAAAATCCAGAGCCCACCTCTACAGCTGCTTACAGGGGTCTCAGCTCTGTGGAGAGGCTGCTGAGGATCTTTATAAACCTGAGATGGCTGATTTCAGCATCAGTGTCTAGGGGAGGTGGGAACTTGGCTTTGTCTGGATATCCAGTCAATATTTATCTTTCAACTCATATTGAATTTAGCATGAAATTTTTTATTCCATACTACCTTGATTGGTATTTAATGAGGCATGAGTTGGATCTAAGAACCAAGTTAAACAACTTCTAGTTCTCTGGCCCAGGCCTATGTGTAGGGACTATGATGGGATAGCCCTAAACCTATAAACACGTGTAAGGATATTTCAAGCCTATAAACAATTTTCATACCCATGCTCTCTTTTGATTCTTAAGGTAACCCTGTGCATTAATCAGGGCATGGATCCTACACACTATGGTGCAGAAAAAGTAAATAGCTTTGTTGCAGGACTTTTCCTTAGTTAGCTAAAGACAGAGTTCTTGTCCGTCCCACGGACACAAAAATTTAGGCTTGCAGATGGTTTAAAGGGTGAGTAAAGCAGGGTCTTATTGGATGAAAAGGGGAACAGAAAAGAGGAAATAGCGATCCTCGGCAAGGCCAGAGTCCCCTGCTGGAGCACTTCCCATCGGTTGTTTGAATTCCAGGTACCACACAGGAAGAGGAGGGGCCAGGCTCCTCCCTGTTGCAAACATCCCATAAACTTCCCAAGGCTCACCTCAGTGGACAGGCTGGTTGGAGTTTCACCAGGGACACCCTCCCACTTGGCTGTCTCAGCTTGCTGCTGATCATGGAGTTACTGAAGGAACCAAGAGAATTTCTGCATCCAGGACTCTCTCATCCTCCCACCAAATATCTGTCCAAGTGATCAATGACTGAGAGAAGGGCAGGAGCAGAGGGCAGCCTTAGAGGACCTTAAGGGGGACAAGAAGTGATTGTGCCCAGCCCAGCCCCACCCTCAGTGCCCAGGGAGGCATGGAGGCTGGTGTGCGTGCAGGCTGTGTATATACGAGCATTCTCCAAGGCTCCTAGCACCGGAGATGGGGCAGTTCCCTTCTCTCCTTGCCCAGGCTTCCAACTCAGCCTAAAGCCTGGGTTGGGCTCAGGGTGCTGACTGGTTTCTGTCCCTTGGGAAGCCTGCCTCTGAAAGGAAGTTTAGCAGGTCTTGTACAGTGGTAAGTGTTTGCCAACGGCCTAATAACACACCACTTCTCTCTTACGTATGTACAGTGCGCATCACAGTTTTCCAAATATTCACACTGGTACTCATTCTGCAACCACACAATTGCCTTATGAAGACAACAACAGGATGGGGATTCTAATTCCTACTGGGGCAAATGACCTGCCTGAAGTCTCAAAGCAATCACAGATAGAGTCAGGGCTCGAGCAACCAGATTTTATCCTGTGTCCAAGGCCAGTCACACTTTAAATTTTGCCAGCTGCCTCCCTGACTGCCCCTCTATCCAGTAGTCATCTATTTACCAACATCACTAGCCAGCTATGATCACCAGGAGAGAGCCCAGAAGCTGACCATGAGGTTTCTGCTTTGTTAATATGGTATGTGCTTTACATCCAAATCCTCTTGCCAGCTCCTCTTCCCCAGGAGCTCTGACAGGCTGCACCAGATGTGTATCCTTTATCTGAAAAGCTTGGGACCAGAAGTGTTTTGGATTTTAAGTGTTTTGGGATTTTGGAATACTTGAATATACATAATAAGATATCTTGGGGATGAGACCCAAGTCTAATCACAGAACTCATGTATGTTTTCGTATATACCATGCACATACAGCCTGAAGGTAATTTATACAATACTTTTAGTAATATATGGGACCTGTCACATGAGGTCAGGTGTAGAATTTTCCACTTGTGGGGTCATGTTGGTGCTCAAAAGTTTTAGATTTTGGGACATTGTGGATTTTGGATTTTTGGATTAGGGATGTTCAACCTGTATACATGCAAGGAGACAAAGGGCCAGTGGCAGGTTTAGGAAATGCCTCCCTTATCAACAACGGAAAAAGCACGCAGCTGCCAGCCCTTCCAACAGGCTCCCGTGTGGCTCTTCTCTAACGGCCTGGCTGCAAATATTGCACAGGCCAGAAGGCCACAGCAAGGCCTCCTTCTTCCTTCCCCTTGAACTTGAGGTGGGTGCGTCTGTGACATGTCACCCCATCTGATTTCCCTGCATTGCTATGGACTGAAAAGCAGGAGCTTCTCTCTTTCCTGCTTTTCAGCCTTCTAGAAACTCTAAGGCTTTCTGGAGCAGGAGCAAGTATCTTCAGCTGAGTCCAAAAGGAATAACATGTACATGGTTTAAGAAATCCTGGTCATTGCTCCTGGCAGGTGTAGCCTATGGACTTGTCTTTTTTCGTTTACCACATCTGGCTTTGAAAAAAGACCAGCCAGATGTTCACAAAGCAGTGTTCGCCATTCTTCATAAAGTAAAACAATGTACCATGGTCAAATGTGAATGCATGTGTAGGTTTAAAAGCTTATGCTCTTGGTTTGGTAAATGTTTAAAAGATGTTACATCCTATATGATTACACCAAGTTCTGTAAATAAAGCCCCAAGTGGTACAGGTACAGGAAGATGAGACATCTGCCTGTTTCTCCTTCTTGCTCTTCTTTCCTCTCTCTCTGTCTTCTATGTCTTGGTCCCACTTTTATTTCTAGCCCTCTTTTTAAGCTGCATCATGTTGGGCTCTTTTTAACAAACAGAACACTTGAAATCCAATCTCAGCTCAGCCATTAAGCCTGTGGATGACCTTGGGCAAGTCACTCAACTGCCACCACATCGCCCCCCTTCACCTCCCAGGCAGAAAGCAAAACACTGCCCATAGCACCGCTTTCCTGGGTCACTCGAATAGAAAATATGCTTGCGAGGTCTGCTCTGTGGGGGATTTCAGACGTTGACTCAGTGGTTCCGCTGATATTTATTAAGCACTTTTTTGTGTGCTGGGCATTATTCCAAGATGAAGGGGACAATACCCAGAGCATGTGGTCATGAGAAAAATTGTTGATTGCTTTTTTTAGTAATGAGAGCTCTCTGGGAATGTCATTCTCCTAACTAAGAACCTGAAGTAGCCTCCCACTGCCCATACAAAAAAAAGTCCCTGAGGGCTGGAGGAGTCTGCAGGAGCCACATCCCAGAAAGCCATCTGCTTTCTTTCTAGTCCCTCTTCTCACCTGGTTTCTTCTCACCCACTGCGCTCCAGGTATCAGATGTCCTTCTACCTCCTCCTGGCACCTTGCTTCCATGTCTCTTACCTGGGGTGCTCTGAGCAGGCCATGGTCTCTACTCAGGACCCTCTCTCCTCTGCTCATGTTCAAATCCCACTGGGTGTGTCAGCTTATATGCCAGCCCTTCTGACCAGCCTTCCCCACTACTGGGCGAAGCCACTCAATCCCAGCTCTCTGATTGGAAGGCAGGAGCCTTGTCTGTCCTTGTTTCCATTTACCTACTGCGCCTGGCACACAGTAGGTCCTTAATGAATCCTTCTGTGGCATAACACCCAGTGGTTGATCTAGAGGTCCCAGAGTATAACCTTTAGGCCTCTTTCATTTTGGAGAAAGGGTCTTGGGTGCAGAGCCCCAGAGTGGGCTTGAGGCAGCTGGGGACCCTGCCTAGGGGAGAGATTCACCTCCTCCATGTAAAGGTCCCCTCAGCACCCGCCTGAGCACAATCCTTGAACTCGGGCTGAACCCTGCTCAGGAGCATCACCCTGGGAAAAGAAACTGCATTTGCATTGATTCCCCGCACAGCCATTCTCTTTAGGGCCATACATTGTTCCTTCTTGACATGGGGCCTGTGGAGCAGTGGCACCCGCCTTGCTCTCTATGTAAATACAGGCTCCTTGAAGGATATTTATTGGCCTGCAGAAAAGATGCGGGGGAATTTTGCTGTCTAGGTGAGTGATAAAAAAGAGCAGCCAGCGGATATGTTCGCCAGCTTATTTACCACAAATCTCTTATTTATGGACTTATAACCTTCTGATGGCCTGGTGTTCCTCCCCTGCCCCCACCTGGTTTTCTTTCCAGATGGAGAAAGTGCTGAGCCGAAGACTATTTGTCCAGGGTTCCTCTTGGCTCCTAGTTTCGACAGCTGGAGCCAGACCGATTGATTTCCTTGCAACTGCGTGGATGTCGATGTGGTCTGTGGGGTGAATCTCTTGCTGCAAAGTGTTGGGCTTATGATGGCCTGGCAGATGGTGTTTGAGGTCCAGCCCATATTTCAATTCTGTGGGCATTCATTGAGCACCTATTGTGCCCAGCACTGCAGATGGTGCCAGGCATGGAGATGGAGACAAGTGTCTAGTCCCTCCCTCGGGCCTGTTTCTGCAGTCTCCTGATAAATATTGAGCGCCACTGGCTGGCCGCTGTGCTGGGCACTTTGCATATGTTATAGTCCATTGATCCTCTTAGCAATCGCATGAAGATGCAACATGTCCCCAAACCTAACTCATCGTGGACCCCTGAGGCCACTCTCTCTCCATGGTTCAGTAAGTGGAATGACGCCATCACCCAGACCCCTAGTTGGGTGGCCTCCTAGAGTGCCCCACAATAGGCAGTCCAGGCTCTGCTGATGGTGTCTCCTCCCCCTGTGTCCTCCCATCCCCTGGGCTCTGTGCCTGCCTCGCCTCTGCCCACTCCATCTCCCACCATTCCAGGCTGGCATTGTTGCCAAACAGACCTCCTAGTCTTGGACGGGTCAGTTCTGGATCCATTCTTCTCTTTGGGTTCCTGTGAAACCTTTCCAAAGCACACCTGACTGGAGCACTCCCCTACTGAACACTTTTAATGAGCCCATTACCCTCACAATGACATCCAGACTCTGGGTCAACAGAGTACCATCTTTAGAGTAGGCCTATCTTTGACGCTGTCTTCTGCAGGCTCCCAGGCTCCAGTCCTACTGGATCATTGTCCTCAGCCCCCGCAGTGCTTGTTCTTGCCTCATGCCTGTGCACGCTCCGGTAAGGCCTCCTGAAGGCCTTCTGCCCACCTCCCTGCAACCTGATGACCTTCTACTCCAACTTCAGGACTCATTTCTAATGCCGCTGCTTCAGAAACCTCCCAAGACAACCTTCCTGGATGTGAGTTAGACACTCAGTTGCCCATAGACTGCTGCACCAGAGCACCACTGCCCAGGTGGCTTGAAATAGTGGCAATCCATTTTCTCACAGTTCTGGAGGCCAGGAGTCCCAAATCAAGGTGTTGGCCTGCCGGCTTTTCCTGAGGGGTGTGAGGGACAACCCGTTGCAGGCCTCTCTCCTGGCTTCTGGTGGTTGCCGGCAGTCTTTGGCTTGTAGATGCCTCACTCCCGTCTCTGCCTTCACATGGCTGTCTTCTCCCTGTGTCTGTGTCTTCTCCCCTTCTATCTCTTATTAGAACATGTGTCACCAAATTTAGGACCCATCTGAATAATTCAGGGTGACTTCAGTAAGTTAATTACATCTGCAAAAACCCTCTATCCAAAGAAGGTCACATTCATGGTACCAGGAGTCCATGGATCTGGATCTATCTTTTGGGGGCCACCTTCAAACCCATCAAAAAACCCCTCCTCTGTGTTTCCACATACCTGGGCAAAGCTCCTCTTGGCCTTTCCCTTGCTCAGAGTGGAGCTGATGGCCCGGTTCCCCAGAGCACTGAGACTGTGGGCTGAGACTTTCCTTTCTCTGTCTCCAGTACCTGGCACTGGGCCTGATCCACAGACACTCATAAATAACAAATGGGGAAATTGATTAATTGGGTGTGTCTCCCAGCATGCTGATGTGGAAACAAAGTCTCATGAGGGAAACAAGATGTGCATAAGGCCATGGAATGAATGAGGGCAAAGCCAGGAATCTGTTCCCAGGACTGTGGGCTGGGGCCTTTTTCTTGGCATCAGCTCCTCTACTCCCTCTGGGATCAGAGGCACCCCCTCAGAAAATCTCTTCTGCTGACTGATTAGGAAATAAAAAAGTTTTCCATCTCCCCATTCTCTAAACAGGCTTCCTCCCAGCTCCCTGACCCTTTGATCAGCGCCCTCCCCAACCCTGGTGCCCAGTCCTCCCAAATCAGAAACACATGTATCATTTGACCTTGGCTGTTTATAGAGGAAAGTGACCCCACAGGGTGGATTTCCCAAAGGTCTTGGGGGCCCCACTACTTGGGCATCCCATGGGAACAGTTCCTGGGGACTTTGCTGTGCTGAGGATGCCAAACTGGGAGGCCAGCATTGTGTGAGGCCAGAGGCTCCACTGGACATAGCTCCTGGAAGAACAGGAAACCCCACAGGGGCTGAATCCCTGCCAGGCACCTCTAGATCCCAAATAGAGGGGCATTTATCCCTGCACATGAACTCTGAGGGCAGGCATGCTGAGTGAGGGGCCAGGTGCTGAAATCCAAGCAAGCATCCTGCCAACACAGCAAGCATAGGGCAGAGGCCAGTTAGACCCCAAGGGGACCCTGCTGGAAAGGCCCTGTCAGGTAAGCCCCACCTGTGCCCCACCACCCACTCCCTGCCCAGGAGTCCGTCTGATGGGGAAGAAGCAGCTTTGTGTGAGAGGCACCTGGCCAGACTGTCAGCTCAGACATCACCCCAAGGGGTGGTGAGGTTCCCCTAAAGACACACAATCCAGCTTTCCTGTGTGAACCGTGATGGTCCAGAAACTCTCCCGTCAGCTCTGTGGGCATTGGAGAAGTTACCCAAGGGACAATGAGTGCCCTGTGTCCTCAGGTGGCTGCCCACCACAGGGTTTTCTCTGGCTTGCAGGAAATGGTCTCCTTCAGACTCCATGGAGGGTCTCTCTTTCCCTTGAAATCAGGTCAGCAGAGGAGCAACCCCAAGGTGTTCTGAGCAGAGAGACAGAGCCGGTGACACTTTGCTCCATCTCTGACTGCGTGGGAGACCTGGGAGACCACTCAGCCTCTGCCAACAGTTCCCCAACAGGGAAAGTCAGGATAACAACACCTATTTCACTAGAGCCTTATGAAAAGAGAGTGGAATAACATATGTCCATGAGCAGGTCCCACAGTGTGCCGGGAATAACAAGAGGAGCTGACTGTTCAAAGCGCTCAGCGGTGCACATCTCAGTGAATCCTCCTGCAACCCGCTGATGAGCTGCTTTGCTATCAGCTCATTTTACAGGTGATGGAACAGAGGCCCGGACAGGTTGAGGACCTACCAAGGGTACACAGCTCTTAAACAGAAAGGCAGGAACCATGATGTTCTCCTGCTTCCCTGCCAAGTGTACATTTCTTTCCCGTCTTCTAACCAGGTGCCTGGCACTGAACTAGTTGAGCAAATGACTTTTCAAGTGAACAATATAAGTTATGCATGGAGGGTGAAAGATGAGTATGACATGGCTGTGTGCTCCCCTCACAATCTGGAGAAATGCCTGCAAACAGGGAATTACAGTATGGTGTGTGTGTGTGGTGGGGGGTGCACAGAACAGGGAGAGCAGTCTGTCCTGTGGGATCTGTTCAGGGATGGGTTGTCAGTGAGAGAAGTTTCTGGCAGCAGGGAATGCCTGAGCTGAGAGGTGCAGAGTCAGGAAGGGTGAGCCAGGTGGACTGGCTCGGGGAGAAAGTCGGGCTATTCCAGGCAGAGGACCCTGAGTAAGCACAGGATCTGAGCCATGAAACAGCCTGCTGAGTGCATGGAATGACAAGGAGCCGGGTGTGCCTGGAATACCGAGGGCCAGGCAGAGTGAGGATGGTGTGGTGAGAGGCAGGCAGGCAGACAGGCAGGCACCAGGCCCCGGAGGGCCTGCGGGACGGGCCTGGGAGTGTGGGCCTCCACTGTGGGCTACAGGGAGCCACAGGATGGGTCTACACAGGGAGGGGTGTGGGCAAACTTCTGTTTCTGAAGGATTATTCTGGAGGTTTTATGTGAATCAGAGGCCAGCCTGGGTCAGAGAAATCTGTTAGGAGGTGAGAGGAAGTGAGGCCCTGAATAACAAATACGGGGGCAGTGGTGGAAATGGAGAAATAAACCTGAAAATAAGTTAGGGTATAAAAGCAGCAGGAATTGCTGAATTATTGAGGCAAGTATGGGAGAGAGAGGAGTCTGTGGTGGCACCCAGGTTCTTTGCTGGGGTCCTGGCTGACCGGTGGACCCATTCACGAGCAGGGACCTGAGGAGAGTGGCTGATTTGAGCGACGATCACACCCACTGATGTCCAAGGCCTGTGGGCCACTCAAGGCGGGAGATGGCCATGAGAGGGCTGGTTCTGTAGCCCATTGCTCAGGAGAGAGGCGTTGACTGTAGGTGTGGGCTGAGGGTGCACCTGCTTATAGATGGAGGTGGAGGTTGATGTCCTGGGAGTGAAGCAGAGGAGTCAGAAAAAAGACCCTGGGGGAGCAAAGGCAAGTCCAGGGATGGGGAGAGTCTCCGCAGGAGGCGATGCTCAATGGGTCCAACCCCACAGAGGCCCTGCAAGGGAAGGACTGAGAAGTGCCTGGATGGGGCTTTGGGGTCACTGACTATGGTTGGGACTGGATTTTGTGGCGGTTAGGAGTGGATGTTAGAGCAAAGGAGCAGCAGGAAAGCTGTGCAGACAAGATGAGAACGAGAGTGCATCATCTCAAGAGAGAGCTAAGGTCAAGGACGGGGCCATTCTCAGGATGAAACAGACTGAAGCACACTTCTTCAGGGGAAGAAGCCTCATAAGGGATGTTCTGACTATGTAAGATGAATGAAAGAATCCACAAGATAGGCCTGGAGGAGGCACAAGGGGCCAGACCCCATGGGGGAGACAAAGACATGATGCTTCCCCTCACAGAGCTCCTCAAGACGCCTGCCCTGCTGTTCTTATCAAACCGGAGCCCGTGCGACACCCTCTCTGCTCCAGCTTTCTCCTGTGCCCTTTAGCTTCGGGGCATTGCTGCTGTTCTTTTGATCATCAATCTCCCCCATGTGTCAGCTCCAGGAGGGCAAAGATGTCATCTGTCTCATCCATAGCTGTTTCCCCAGCACATGCCAGGAGCTGCTTCTGGCATGTAGGGGAAGCTCAACTCATGTCTGCTGTGGAATGGATGGATCGGCAGTGGAGAAGACATCCCCATGCACAGCTGATGCTAGAGCCAGGAGACGTGGGTTTGGAGTTTGATGGTGGAGGAAGTGGTGGGGGGGCACATTGGGCAGAGGGTGGGCAAGAGCCAAGAGCCATGGAGGAACTGGTGAGCACAGGCCCTGTAGGGAAAGGCCAGTGGTCCAGCATTAACCAATATTACTCAGGGCCTTCCCTCCCCTCCTTCCTGCAACATCTGGGGAGCACATACAACATGTGAGGAGCTGGAGATGCAAAAAGGAAGAACACAGACTGTCTGCCCATGAGGAACTTATAATCCAGGGGAGTGAGAACAGGAGAGCAATCATCAGAGTCCAAATATGGTGCATATTACATGGGTCATGTATCTGACTGAAAAAAAAAAATAAGAGTGAGGCCAAATTAAAAAGGCCTTGAATACTGGGCTAAGAACCTTAGGTTTTATCTCATAGACAATAGGGAGCCATTGATGGTTTATAACCCTGGAAGCACCACGATCATGCCCACATTTTAGAAGAACTCATGGGCAACAGTATGGGCCCTGTAATGAAGAAAGTTATAAGCAGGGGAAGGAAGCCCTGAGAAAATGGTTCCAAACAGTGGTGTGCTGGGGCCACTTCCTCCCAGAACAGCAAGAGCTGAATATCTTCTTCTCTTTCCAGCTCCTCCTTCTGTGACATCACCACTTACCAGTTGAAATTGGCTGTAGTGGGAGTATTTACACCATGGAAATTGGTGAATGCTACAAATCAGAGCTGCTTTTTTCTTGGAGTTCTGGTTTACCCACAAACAGGGGATAGCTCAAGTGCTAACCATGACCAGTGGGCTCACAGCCTCACACGGAAGCTGACAAACAAGCCAGGGTTCTCTTTCAAGCCCCTATAGGGACCTTATCAATGCTAATTGTTATCTCAGCCTCAGCTTTTTTGCTTCAGAAACAGACAACATTTTATCTTCCCAACTTGGACCACAGTGTCTAGTCCTGTCCTCTAGGTGAAACTAACAAAATCAAGGCAAACCAAGAGGGCAAAAGGGCCTCAGCTGTCCTGAGATGGGCTTTGTTTTGTTTTCACAGCTCAGAAACTCCGGGGACTTAGGAGAATAGTTACCGAGCAGTGAGGGAACAAAATATTTCATCTTTGTGTGGTGTTTGAGGCCAAATCACCTGACCCAGAAGCAAGAGAAGAGGAAGGGGCAGAGCCACTGAGCCAGGTTCCCTCCTCAGCCTCCCACAGCTCCTGTCCTCTTGCAATTGAGCAAGAGGACCCCAAGTTGGCTAAATCAGAGGGCTGCAGACTGCATGCCAGCTGCAACGTGGGTCACGAGGAAAATGGGCTGGGCAGGCAATGAGATCATCGCTGTCTCTTCACCTGCCTGCCCTAGGGGTGCAGCTGTTTTATTTCCAGGTAAAACACACAACTGTGCCTCTCCAGGGTGGCAGCAAGAGAGAAGGGATTTGCAGGGATTCCATAAAGCTATTGACTTAAGATGTTAGTTACATTCTGAGAGCAGAGACAGGCACAATGGTTAAATGACTGCCATTTTGAGGAAATATTGACTCTGACCAGTGGATTCCGTGGCTTGTTTCACAATGCCTGGACACAATGGCCTGTTACTTGCACGTGTGTGTGTGCACATGCACGCACATACACAAGCAATCAGTTAATAATTAAAGCCTTGCTTATGTGTCCGCATTGAAAAATGCTTCCGGCTTTCATTTCATGTCATACTGTCTCCCACTTCACCCTCAAATGCATGCTTTGAAGGAGGATTATTTCTATTTTGTATGCTCTGGAAATTAACTGATAGATGTGTGCATTTCTATCCCCCGCTTCTCCATTTGTGTCCCTCCTTACCTTTTATTCTTGTCTGCTCTCTGCTCCTCCCCCCTGATTTTCACCAACTTGTTTCTTTGCTTTAAATCTCTCCCTCATCTGAGGCTGCTTGTCTTCCCTGCCCCACTGCCCCCTCCACTTCCCTTTCTCCTTCTTCTGTATTCCTTTCTGACTCCTTTTTCTCCTCGCCTCTCTCTTTTCTCGTCTTTCTCTCTCTCTGTCACTCAGCAATCCCTACCTCTCAAGGTCAACAAGCAACTCTGCCGAGATCTTCACTCGAAAGAGCTCACTTGGCTTTAATTAGGATCCTTTCAGAAACCCTGACCCCAGAGAAAGCCCTGCACTCAAGAGCTGTCAATTTCCTTTGCTCTGTCTTATCACCTCCCTCCTCCATGCTTTTAAGAGCAAAAATCCAATAAAAGAGATTTAGAATAAACATGTGGAAGAGGAAAGGATTGAGGACATTCCATTTTGCTCCTTCAGTTGTGTAGATGAGAAAACTGAGACCCCAAGGAGGGACCGTGACACTCCACAACCACACAGCCAGTGAGAGACAGAGCTGGTGTCAGAGCCCTGGCCCCACTAACCCCTCCTTACCAGCTGCCCCCTGGACCTGACCACAGAGGAACTCCATGGAGCATTTAGAGAACACCTCCCAGGCCCAGACAAGTGCTGATATTTTTCCAGACATGCCTGGAGGCATCTTGGGAAGAAGCTACAAAGTTAAACAAAAACAAACGGTGAACTTGGTAATTGTACACACTCCTATTTTCTTAACTAACCAACTGGATCTTGTTAAGGGAGGCTTCTGAACGCAGACAGAGAGAACCTTGTCGTCACCCGTTAAATATGTCTAATTTTACACACTGTCATGTAGTTCTCCATCCAGCTGCCTCTCCACTGGAAAGGAGTGAATGATTGCATCTTGGCCCATTTCTTAGCACGTAGGTATTTTTTACAGGCAAGATTGCAGACCCTGCTGAAATGGTCTAGTGTGGGTAATCTTACATACTTGGCATCTTCAGCAGACTTTTAATTCATCTAAAACAGAGAGCTGGTTGTTTCAGATAGTGCCATCTGCCTGATGCTGACATGGCATGTTTTCTCACCTAAGTCCTGCCTCCTGTCTAGTCCTCAGTTTCCCCAACTGTAACGTAAGAATGGACCAGACTTTCCCAGGGCCCTTCCAGGGCTCAGCTCTGCTGTTCAGACTCACTCTACATTTGCCAAGACCTTAATTGCATCAAAACGCTGAGCAAAGTCTGGTTTTTGTTAGGGCTTTTGCTTACAGAGCTGTCTTCCAAATCAAGAACCTTCCTGATGCTTTTAAATAAGCCTATACTTTAAAGAAAAATGAAAATTAAAGTATCGAACCTCTGGGTGCACTCTGTGCCCCATAATGAAATGTACATGGAGGACATACATCCGGTTCAAGGACTTTATACAAAGTTATAATAACTTAACAGTAATAAGCTAATAGTCAAATGGAATTAATAACAGGAATGTGGCCATTTAAGCAGTGAGATGGCCCCGTGTCATGAAATTTTTGCGGCTAAACCCTCTTGAGTTTCTGTAAGCTAATAGCAATTAGCTCCTGAGTTAATGGCAGCTGCGGTCATAATGAGATTGGAATTGATCATTTAGAAGCAGGCTCCCATAAGCTGGTCTTATGAGGCATTTCAGCTGCAAAGCACTGCCTTGACCTCTTCTCCCCACATCTTTCATCATGACCCCATCTTTTTTCAGGCTTTCTGGACTCATCATACTTTTTCCCTGCACAGCATGCAGCTCTGCAGGGCACCAAGAGTGAAGCCTTATGGTGGGTTGTATAGCCTACAGACCAAGAATTCCAAGCCTGCAAAGCAGAGTCTACTCAAACTTGGCTGCACAAACCTTTCCCTTGGCAGGTACCTCCTTGGCAGGTTATGCCCATCTTAGCTTCGAGTTCTAATTCTGGCTCTCTACTGCTTTGGTCTGACTAGTGGGTTGACCTCTCTCAGCTTTGGTTTTCTCAACTGTAAAGTGAGGTGCATATTATCTACCTCATCAGGGTTATAGTAAAGATGTAATAAGGAAATCTGTGTAAAGGGCCTTTATCTACCATGAAAAGATGCTCAATGGATGTCTTCCTTTTTGTGTCAGTTAGCTTTTGCCCTGTAACAAATCACCCCCAAAATTAATGGCTTAAAATAACAATCATTTTATCTTGCTCACAATTATGTGGGTCATCTGGGTGTGTTTTTTCTGGTGTAGCCCACTGTTTCTGGGCACCATCATGCATTTGTGGTCGGTCGATGGGTAGGCTGGTGGCTGGACAGTCTAGGTATGCTGTGCGCACATGCCAGTGGTTGGCAGGCTGTCAGCATGAGACATAGGAAGAATTGGGACACATGACTCTCATCCTGCAGCAGACTAGCTTGGGCTTATTCTCATGGTGGTCTCAGGGATACAAGCACAGGAAAGAAGGAAGTCCCAATATGCAGGGGCTTTATAAGTCTCTGCTATGTTACATTTACTATCATCCTATTGGCCAAAGAAATTCACATGGCCAAGAAAGACCCATGGCCAAGTCTACCTACACTCTACGTCTTGATGAAAAAATGGCATAGAGATGGGAAGAATCTGTGGTCACTTTTCCAACATACCACACCTCATTTTACTTTCATTAGTTTTTGTCATCTATATGCTGTGTCTGGTAGATAGCAGGTGTTTGGAAAGTGATTATTAAGTGAATGATTGAGTAAATGAATGACAGAAACCAGCCTTCTGTTAGTAACGCTGAGACTCCAAGACAAGCAGCTTGCCAAGGTATTGCTGCAACTGCGGGGGAGAAAGCAGGAGTCAGACCCCAGCCTCCTGATCTCCACTCAGACAATTGTTTTCTCTTCCATAGATGAGGAAAACTGTTACATAACACATCCCAGCACCTCAAGATTTTTTGGTGTGTGCTTTTTCTGAGCATCAGTTTCCTTTCTGTATTTGAAGGCATGGATGTGGTCTCACTGGCCCTCCCACTCCTCTGTCTGGGTGCTTTGGAAGGTAGTATGGTCCAAAGCAGTTCTCTGCACAGTGCTTCTCCCAAGAGACAGAGGGGTGGAGAAGGGGTGGCAGTGAAGCTCCCCAGGTCCCTCTGCATGTGGATATAGCTGGAAATTCAGTACATGCATCAATATGTGGCTAATCCTTGAGCCAGCTCTGAGTTGTCTGGACAAAAGGTGATTAAATTACTCAGGAATCAATTCCAGGAGCTGTTTTCCTTCCTTATTTAAAGATCACAAACTATTTTCTCCTGAGGATAAAAATCAATAATTGAGTAAAAATTGGGCATCACATCATTCCTATCAGAGGCCCCAAATAAGCTTTCTGGCTGGGGAAGTGTGGGGAGATGGAGGCAAATGCAAACTCTGCCTTTTACATTCTGAGTCAGTGAAGTCTGCAGAGGGTAGTTGGGGGAATAAAGCTCCCTCACCTCTGGGTCTACCTGCAGGCATTTTCTCTCTCTTCCCACATGGGGAGGTTTTTTTTTTTGTCATGGGAGATTTGCTCTGGAGGAACCCTAGGGCCCATCTGTCTTGACAACACATTACCTCCTGCCATGTCTGGTGTATCAGTCAGGCTTGTCTAAGTTATGTTGCAGTAACAAATAACTCTCAACTCTCAGTGACCTACAGCAGCAAAGGCTTAGTTCTCACTTGAGTTCTATATCCTTTCTGACGATATGCAGCTCTGTTCTATGCCATTGTCATTCCAGTACTGGGCAGAGGGAGCAGCCTCTATCTGGAGCATATCTAGTCTCATGGCTGAGGAAAAACAGAGTAGAACTCCATAGCTCTTAATACTTCTGTTCAGAAGTAGCACACTTCACTTCTGCTCACATTTCATTGGCTAAATCAAATCAAATGGCCAAGCCTAATGGGGTAGGGAGGAATAATCTTCCGTGGAAAAGACCAGCAAATATTTTAAACAATAATATAATCTAACACATATGGTCTCTGCTTGGGTCGGCTTGGTGCTGGTGTTTAGACAAGGGTGTGGGTTTTCCAGGGCTGGGCTGGAGTGAAAGAGGAATGAGACCCAGGGGTACCGTGAGGGAGGTGGGAGGCCCACTGGCTTTGGCTCTGTCTACTTTAGTCTCCAGCAGAGGAAATTTTAACAGGCACTTCCATGAAGCCATTTACTCATGAACTCCACAAGTTTCCAGACATTTCTGCTTGAAGCAGCCCCAAGAATTGCTGGAGGAAAGCCAGCAGCCTGGGCTGTCTGGCCCTATTCTAAGAAATAAAATGTCCCCTGCTCCTAAGGTCACACAGGGCAGGGGGCTCTGTGCTGGTCAGAAAAGGTGTGACGAGGCCAAGTTCCCTGAAGGACAGTGGGACACCCCAGAACCCCCTGCAATTCAGACCCTGAACCTCACACAATACATCCTAGATAGCCTCAGGCTTAGAGGATGATGACCTGAATCTCAGGTCCACTTCTTCAACTTATCAACACGTGGCCTTCGATGTTCAGTTACCTGCTCTGTGCTTCATTGTTTTCATCAATAAAATAGGAATAACAGCATCAGACCTGCCTTCATTTGCTAAGAGATGGGAAAGTTCTACAGAAAAGAGTGAAAACAAAATTGCCTAATGCTCCCTAGGAGTTTGATACAGATGGTGCATCTCATGTCTCTGGTCACTCCCTGTTTCATGAGGATGCAGAGAAGGGCAAGACTTCACCTCCAAGATCTCTAAAGGGGACAGCGAGAGCGGGTGGGTCCCCAGAGAGACAGACATATTAGCTCCCACTAGAAACAATTTTCTAACAAGGCCAGAGCCATTGGGAGATGAAATGGCTGGCAAGGGAGAGAATGATTCCCTGTGATGAGAGGTATGCAATTAGGGACTGAAGTCTGCTTCCCAAGGATACTCTGAATGCCGGTAAGCAGTGGATGGATGGTGGAACCGAATGCCGGAGGGTCATAGACTCTTAGAATTAAATGATTGCTATCAAACTCAGAGGCACAGTAATATGACCTCATGGATGAAGCCCTGGCAAACCATGTGGCAGTAGGTGAAGCATATGCCCTGGCCTGATCTCAGGTTGATCTTTTCGAGGCTCCTTCCTCCTGACAGTTCCAGGAGACTTAGATGGTGATTCACTCCTCAGTGGCCTTGGTATTTCCTGCACGTCTCCTAGAAATGAGGCATCAGTCCTAGTCTGGTGGCCGTCCACCCCCAAAAGTCGGGACATCCCTCTTGAGCTCTGTCTGGTCCCAGTGAGAAACTCTCAGGATGCACTGTGGTCCCCAATGGCTGAGGAGCAGTGGTGCACAGGTGCCCAAGACACTGGACTGTCCTCAGGGGAAAGGGCAGAGACAGCACTGTGTGTTTGCTGAGGGGGATGGGATATTGTTGGTGAATGGATCATGTCCCAGCCCTGGACATGCTGGGTACATGGAAGAGCTCAAATTGGGCTTTTGATAATGATCATTTTCTTGGACTTGGAGCAATGCATTTCTCTCCTCCCACTCCTTCTGTATCCTTAGCATCTTCTTCCTGACATTGAAAATTGCTTTATATTCCTCAGGGGCTGTCAAGTTCTTCCTCTCCTGAGGCCCTCTCACTGGTTCTATGAGGCAGCCAGGCCTGGAGCAGCATCTTTTTCTGGTCATGAACACATATGGGGCTCAAGCGTGTGAGAGGTGTGAGACTTGCCTACTCAAACCCTGGCCCAGTGCCGAGCCTTGAGCTCCTGTGTCCCTGAATCTGCAGCCCAAAATGCTGGCGGCCACCTTGGGGAACATCTCCTCAGTGCCCCAGCAGCCCTTTCCTCCACAGCTGGAGGCAGGAGCCACCAAGGCTAGAGGGACCAGGCATTATGCCCCTGTGAGACCGTGGGCATGGCCCTTAGGTACCTGTCCTCCACTGTCAAATGGGGCTCCCTCCTGTGTCCCAGGTAAAGGAGAAATGACTGACTGTCCAGCGTGCCTGGTGCATGTGTGGTTCATGGTAAGCACACATAACTGCCCTATTGTTGCTGTCATTGTTCTGCATGTCTATCATGCCTTGTATCCCACATCCTGAGGCTCAGTACCTTGGCCAGCCCTGCTGGGGGCCCAGTCCAGGCCTAGATCTGCACTGAAAACCTGCCTCTGGTCACCACAGAAGATGGGGTGATGTCCCTCCATGGGACATGCTGGTCTGGGTGCTGTGCTGGGCACTCCTGGACTTGCCTGAGCAAGCATTTCATGTATCTACCCCAACCAGGTGTTGGGGTAGACACACTGCCACATATTTTTCTGTTTGGCTCCCACAATCCCTGAGAAAAGGAGCATTTGCCTTCCATGGCACAGATGAGGAAACTGAATCTAAGACAGGTAACTTGCTCAGGGTCACCCAAGAATCAGGAGCAATACCCCTCCTGGTGGTGGGGGATGAGGACCTTCCAGGCCAGGAGGCCCCCCACCTTTTCCTCACAGAGCTCTCAGGGGAACATTGTGGACACAGATTCCTGGGACCCAGCCTACACCGCTCCCCGCCCCAGTTACTCTAGGGGTGGGACTGGAGACCCATTTCTGAACAGCTCACCAGGTGACCTCCCTGCAGACAAGGTCTGCGAACATCTACATCATATGCCCCCTCTGCCAGTCTGGCCTGGTCTGGTCTGCTAGACATAGACCTGCAGTGACAAATATGGCCCTTTCTAAGTGCAGGGCTTCAGGGAAAGAGAGAAAGGCCTCAAGTAGTAAGGCTCCTTCGGAGAATGTATCTTATATGCCGAGAAAGACAGGAAAAAACAAGGCTTTGTTCCACTCTAGCATCTAATTTGCTATGTGAGCTTGAGCAAGTCACTCTCTGGGTCTCAGATTCTGAACCTATAAAATTAGATTTAAAGGACTTTAGGCTGGAGTTTCCCTAAGTTTGAAACATCTGGACACACTCCGGATGATCCAGCACAAGAAGCAGGGCCCTCAGCAGCCAGTGAACAGGTTCACTGCAGGGAATAAATGTCACCAGCCCTGCTCAGGACACTCGGCTAGCTCTGTTTGCTCTGAGCTGCCACCTTTGTGATAATGGCACCTACCTTCACCTACCAGCAGGCATTGTGCTAAGCACCTGGCTGCATTTAATCCTCAGCCACCCTTTAAGGAAAACATTATCCTCTCCCATTTTACAGTCAAGAAAACTGAGGCTCAACAAGGTTGAGAGATCCAGCCAAGGTCACATAGCTGGGAAATGGCAGAGCTAGGATTCAAGCACAATGTGGTGAGGCTCCAAAGCTGATGGGTTGTGCAGACGGCCGCTTTAGTGTCCTGAGTAATTGCCGACTGTCTTCCTCCCTGAGGATGTGTGCAGCTGAGCTCTCTCTCGCCTTTTTTGTGAGCCTGCCATGAATCAGGAGAGGCAGAGGAACAAAATAAACAGAGATGGATGGGAGCAGAGGGTTTTGAGTGGAATCATTCTGCAAAGCTGTCTTTTTCCTTCGCCTTCTTTTGCAAGCTGCCCCTCTTAGGAGCTTCAAAAAGAAACCTGCTCCAAAGCAGGATCTTTTGCCTGAGCCAAAAGCCATTTATCTGGAATATTAATATGCCAGCAGCTGCCTGTGATGGTGCCTGCGCTGATCACACACTCCCAGCAATGATCTCTCCTGGGAATGTTCCGTGAGGCTCCAGGAAGCTAATGGGCCCCCTGTGGCCCATTCTACTTACCTTTTGTTTGGCTTTCCCAGAGCTTTCTGCAGATTTTCAACCAAGCGTGTCCCAGAGAGGGACATCTGCGGTAGGACAAGGCCATTGACAGCAAATCCACACCCACCCCACCTCAGGTGACTAGTCCTTCTCCCTCATGGCATGATGATTGGAAAAGAATAGAAAAATCCGCAAGAGCCAGCCCGCACACTATGTCTAACCGCAGGAGTCAGGCTGGGGACTCACCATGTCTTGAAGTGAAAGGCACGGAGTTTAGAGGAGCAGAGCTCAGCTTTTGCTATAGCCCATCCACTCCAGTGCTGTACAGCCTTAAGCCAGCTACAGGCTCCCTTTCACTTCAACCTTCTCTCTGCAAATTGAGCTGGTTGAACTTGATGCTCTCTCTCTAAGGGTCCTCCAGATGGAACATACCCTAATGTTGTGGTGGGAACACTAGGCAGAGAGTTGGAGGCTTTGTGTTCAAATCCCAGCTCTGCCACAGAGCAACCTTGGTCAAATTGCAGAGGTTACTATGTCATTGGGTTTATTGTAACACAAACTGAAAGGAGATTCTCTGTGCAAGTGCCTAGAGGAGGGCCTTCTCTGTGGAGTCAAAAGCCATTTGCTGAAGCTGAAGCTGGGATTCCAGTCACTACCAGAAGCTGGTGCAGAAAATACAGCTGGAAGTGATCCTACTCCCTCTGAGTTCCTCATCTCACAAAATCAGTAGTTTATAATGAAGCACCATGGCTTGTAATGAAAAGATACTTCCTAGAATGTCACAGTGCAAAACATTTCCTGGCACAGGAATGTCTTGTGTTCTGTAAGGTCAGTAATCAGATATCAGAATTTTAAGATGCCAACTTGCAACCCTCCCTTGCCAACCCATACCTTAGTTCCTATCACATAGTAGGTCTCAATAACACTCTACTTTTCCTTTCAGTGTAAATTCAGAGGAACTATTCAATAATGGCAATAATCAGGAACACAATGGCAATTAACACATTGCAGATACTGCTCCAAGTGCTTTCTATATTTTAATTCACCGAATGCTTATGACCACCCCATGAGATGGATACTATTTCACACGGGAATTTGGAAAGCTCACCCAAGGTCACAAAGGTACTAAGTAGCAGGGGTAGAAATTAAACCCAGACAATGGGGCTTGAGCTTGCTTCTCAGTCCACTGGGAGTGGTTCTCAGACTGAAATTACCTGGTGGGACTTAAAAATGCAGCCTGTAGGACCCCACCCCCAGAGCTTCTGATTCTCTAGGCCTGAGTGGTGCCTGAGAATCTGAATTTTCAGAAGATTCCCAGGTGACATTGGTCTGGGGACCACACTTTGAGAGCTACTGATTTAGACCTCCGAGTTAAAGGGAAAAACTGGACTCCATGTGAACTCCAAGGTCCCTTGGAGCTTCAGGATCCCTGTGTTTCCCAAAGTATTATCCACAGAAAATACTTCCACAGGTTGCTGTTGGGCAATATATGCTGGAAAGGGGAATGAAATCAGTGGTCATGTATGTTTGGGACATTTTGGTTTAATACATTTAAATAGGTTTCTTTACTGGTTACCTGCTTTGTGTTTGTTTATGTAATATCCACATGTACTCTATGACATAGTTGGCAAGTTTTCTAAACATATTTGACATCAATTGCCTTCTAATGAGTAGAATGGAGAAGTAGTGTGACTTCTCAGAGTAGGCCATGAAAAGCATTGTGGTTTCCTCTTTGCTGTCTCTTTTGGATCAATAACTATGGAGGAAGCCAGTCCCCATATTTTGAAGACACTCAGGCAGCCTTATGGAGACATCAACACTGTAGCCCAGGGAGAACAATGCTCCCAGAACACTGCTGGAGAACCACCTGCCAGGTCAATGCTCACCATGTCCAGTATGGGGAGGCCTTGAAGGCCTCCAGATAGACTCTTAGAAGTGGGTTAGAACCAATATGGATTGCACAAAACAGAGACTCAGCCCCTCTTCTCCAGCCCAATGGATCATACTTTATACCTTTTGTAAACTCCTGAAGCAAATATGCTATTGCAGGAGAATCCAGGCAAGATAATAGGGATGATTGAGTGCAACCTCATCCCAAATTCCAACTACCCCAAGAGCATATGTCTTTGGGACCCCAGGTAGGCACTCCAGTACCCTTCTCTACAAAAGGGGAGGAACAGTGTTTTATTCAAGCCACCAGAGAAAACAATAAGCTCTATTTCACAAGTCTCTGGTGGTACTAGGTAGGTGCTAGGAGAATGAGGGAGAGTGAAATGAGTGAAATATGATCCTTGGCATCCACCAGCCTACATAGTCTATGTCAAGGTCGGCTGCATCCAAGACAATGAATTGAGTATTTTGAGGACAGGGGACTCAGTCTCACAAAGGAGCAATGGGTTATGCCAGTGGAGAGATGGCACTCTGGGAAGGAAACGGCTTCCCTCCCCATTGAATTCAATCACAGCTCCTCCAGAGTTAGTCAGTGCTAGGGTCAGTGAGCAACAGGATCTGAAAATTGTGAGCAAATTTCCAAAATCTGACAGAAAGCATGGAATTCCATTTCCCGTCTGGTCTAGGCAAGAGTTTGGGTTTCAGCAGCTGAGAGTACCGAGGAGAAGAACAGAACAATAGAAGATCCTGGAGTGACCTCAACCCCTGGAGATTCCAGCAGAAGGACCTCATAGGCCAGCCTGAACATTCCTGAGGGAACCTGCTGGTCTTCCTGGCCTCTGAGAAGTTGCAGGGGGAACTGAACAGGTGTGCTGTGTTCAGGAGATAATGAGAAGACAAAGAGGCTTCCTCTGGGTGTCTCAACAGGGGTTCTGATGATTTGCTATCTGCAGTTATCTGGAGACTTGAGTGAGACTGGGAGATCTGCTTCCAAGATGACTGATTCCCATGGCTGATAGAAGAAGGCCTCAGTCCTTGCTGGCTGATTGTAGGGGGCCTACATTTCTCCCCATGTGGATGTCTCCATAGGGCTGCCTGAGTGTCTTCAAAATATGGTGACTGGCTTTCTCCAGAGCTCATGATCCAAAAGAGACAGCAAAGAGGAAACTGCAATGCTTTTTATGGCCTACTCTGAGAAGTCACACTACTTCTCCATTCTACACATTAGAAGCTAGTCCAACCCACATGCAAGAGGAGGGAACTAAGCTCTACCTCATGAAGGAAGGAGTATCAAAGAAGTTTTGGACTTATTTTAAAACCACTATACCATCTAAGGACAGAAATAAAAGAAGGATTCTGACCAGAAATAAAAGGGGGATCAGAACAGAGACTGTGGGAGATTGGGGCGAGGGGAAGAGAATTCCTTTAACAGTTTAAGGAAGAGAGAGAAAGAGCAGTGAATAATTAATGTATATATGGTTAAATTTAAATGGATAATTATAGAGTTTCTTGGAATGTGTAAGGAAAGTACTAAATAAAGATCTTGAAATAGAAATGACAAAGTATTGGGAAAATCTAATAACAGTCTGGAACTAATTATAATAAAACTCTTTTGGGAAAAACTAGAACTTTGTGGGGCATGGGAAAAGAAGGTACAGGTAAATGAGTTTTAAAGTTCTCATCTGTAGAAACAAAGAGTGGGGAATTAAAAATATGTTAAAGGCCATATGATCTTGGAGTAAAGAAGAAAACAGTAGTGAAAATAATGGCATTTTGTTTTTATATAATGGAAAAGCATGTGTTCAATTATAAGTGTAAAAAAAATAGAAGGAAACCATCAATGGAATAGAAAAGTGGAGTAAAAATCAAGAAAATAAAATAGAGGAAACAAAAAATAAATAGTAAACATAAATCCAACTGTCAGGAAAAAAATGTGTAAAAATATTACACTGAAAGTGAATGGACTAAATGTTCCTATTAAAAGATAGAGGCTTTTCAACTGGTTTTAAAAAAAATCAACAGAAGGAGATGAAAGTGTTTCCTATTTGATAAGAAGATTCTGAATAAAGGTAAAGATGAAGGAAAACAGGGCAAAGATGGGGGGATTCTGTATGGTATGTCTGAAGATCTAAGTTCTGCCACTACCATTGTCAGTAGTCTTCCTTAAACTGTTCCTTAAGCAGTTCCTTGCTCCATTACTGCCATTAGTGCCAAAAATGAAGAGGCAAACAAAAAAGGATTCTAACTGCTTAAACTGAATGCTCCCTATTATTTAAAAAACTTCTCAAAAATTAAAGCAGAAGAGTTGCAGAGAGTTGCTTATTTCATTTCTTTTGACCCCAGCTTCTGAAAGTTTGGTGAATATTCTCCTTGAACTTCCCTGCTGGGTAACTTGCAAGGATTGAGTGCTTGATTTACCTTTACAAGTAGGAGAGAGTCCCACCTGGAAGGCTCCTTTGGACCAAGTAGTTGCCATAAAATGTGTCTTGTATTATTTCTTTTTCTCTATCCCAACAATGTAGGGAATGGTGGTTGTTTGCAGAAATGCAATATCCTGGCATTTGAGTATCAAGAGGGAATACAGGTCAGATTTCAAACATTATAGGCTCGAGGTGCAAACTCCTGTGGTGGAGCATTGCTTCATTTCCAATTTTTCTAGCCCATCAGAAAGAATTGGAAGCTCAATATCCTGAAATGTAGTTATTCATTCACAGATATTTGTTTTGCAACTCCTAAGTGCCAAGCACTTCAGTAGGCTCTGTGTATATAGAAGTCAACAAATCATAAAAAGCCACTGCCCTCATGAAGCATGCATTCTAGTGGAAGCAACAGGCAATAAATAAATGCTGGCTGTGGTTAAGTGCTATCAGGAATAATAAAGCAGGGCAGGAGGCCAGGCAGTGTGTATTATTTTAACCCATCAAATCGTGGGCTCATTGAGTATAGAGTCCATGCTTAGTCCATCTCTGTGCCTATAGGACCTCAGTCCAGGCACAGCCAGTGTGTAATAATTTTTCAGAAAAGCATGGAGATGAAGAGCAAAGGTAGTTGTGGATTTGTGCTTCCTCTTAATGTGGCAGATAACAGGTAACAAGATCAATAAGGGTTTTGGACTGGTGAGTGATATGATCAAATTTATGTGTTCAGGATGTCTGATACACCCATGGTGTATAGAATGAGTGATAGTTGGTGTGAGGGAGTGGGGGTGGGAGAAGCCATACCAGAAGACAGAACGCCAACCTTCTAGAGCAATGCTGTTCAATAGAACTTTCTATGATGGAAATGCTTCGTATCTGTACTATCCAACATGGTAGCCATCTATAGTTCTTAAGCATTTGAAATGTGGTCAAAGAGACAGAGGAGCTAATTTTTTAAATTGTGTTTTATTTTAATAAATATAAATGTAAATAGCCATATGTGGCTAGTGGCTACCACAATGGCAAGGTGGTTCCGGGGTAATCCAAGCTAGAGCCCGTGAAGGTCTGACCCTGGGTGCTGATGGTATGACTGGAATGGGGAAACCAGTAGAGAAGACCACTTAGTTCCATTTCAGATGTTGGCCAAGTCACTAAACCTCTCTGGGCCTCAGTTTCTTCCTTTGAAAAAATGGAGATAATTATACTTACCTCCCACCTATCTCAACTTACCTTACAAGCTACAGAGGACTGTCATTAACTAGCAAATCCTCTGTCATCAGCACTTGGGTCTAAACTGCACTAGAAGTTTAATTGTACATTATTCCTGGGGGCCAATTTGAAGATGTGAGTGTGTGTGTGTGTGTGTGTGTGTGTGCGTGCGTGTGTGTATTAGTTCATTCTCACATTGCTATAAAGAAATACCTGAGACTGGGAAATTTATAAAGAAAAAAGGTTTGATTGATTCATGGTTCTGCAGGCTGTACAGGAAGCACAGCACCAATAGCTTCTGGAGAGGCCTCAGGAAACTTACAATCATGTTGCAAAAGGAAGGGGAAGCAGGCACGTCTTACATGGCCCAAGCAGGAGGAAATGAGAAAGGAAGAAGGTGCCACACACTTTAAAACAACCAGATCTCACAAGAACTCACTCACTATCTTGAGGATAGTACCAAAGGGGAAATCTGCCTCATAATCCAATTACCTCCCACCGGGTCCCACCTCAAACACTGGGGATTACAATTTGACATGAGATTTGGGTGGAGACTTAGATCCAAACCATATCAGTGTGTGTATGTGTGTGTGTGTGTGTGTATTCATATGTGTGTGTATGTATGCTCTAAAAATGTTCATAGTTTTGACACGGTAAATCTCCTTTAAATATATTCTGAAGAAATATTCAGAAACTCAGGCAGATGTAGGCAGAAAGATATTTATTAAAGCATTGTTCATAGTAGCAAAGTTACATGCAACCTAAATATTCAACCATAGATTACCTCAATAAAGAAAGCCTTGTCCACATATTAGAATATATACACTAATAAAAGTGGTAGTGTCAAATAATATTTAGTAAAATGCTTATGACATATTACTGCTGATTATATAGCTCTATGCATTGATAAAAGACTGAAAGGAAAACCATCAAATTCCTAGCAGTGGCTATCATTAGGTGATGTGATTACAATTCATGTTTTATTTTTTTCCTGTATCTTTTCATATTTTCCATGTTCTCCATGATGAGCTTGCATTGTTTTCTTTTGTAATGAGGTAGCAGGGGTGGGAAAAGGTTATTTTTAAATGGGAGAAAGCAACATTTTGTTTTTAAAAAGATATTATTTTTGAGAGAAATAGCACCACTCCAAGTTCCCAAATCTTGACATCAGGGAGAAAGCTGTTTCCTACAGAGCTGCACACCTAGGAATCCTAGGTCCTGAACCCCTCCGTAAGCCCCAGAGGTCCAGACATTTTTGTTGCTGGTGGGTTGGCCTGAGGCACCTTCTTACCTTTCTTCCTAGCTGGGCCAGCTGCTAGGCTTCCAAGCAGGGAGTGTGTTTGCAGGATTCAGGGAGGCCTTCAGGGAGTATGGGGGTGGTAGCCAGCCCAGGGCCGAATCTCTGCAGTTCCTTCTCCACTTGTCTCCATCTTTAGCACTATTTCTGCTTCCTACTCTCTGCCTTCCCAGGCGCCTGTATCTCCCTGATCTGATCTCTTCTTGCCTCAATTTCCGTTTGTCTCTCTCATGCCCCTGTCTCTGTTCTCTCAGTCTCCCTCTAGATCTGCCTCTCCCGGTGTCTACCTCTAGCCCCCATCCCCAGGCAGACGCTGCCTCCAGCTCTCTGCCCCCTCCTGCCACGCTGCTGCTGAGCTTGGCAGGACGCTGAAGGTGATGGGCTGCAGCCTGTCGAGGGCCCGGAAGCTGTTACTATTACCGGGAGCTGCTTCTGTCAGGAGAATGTTCTCACATGTCACAAATCAGAAGAGGGTGTCTTCACTTCCTTCTGCCTGATCTCAACAAATTCCACATATAGTCCCCGCACGACTGCTGACCCCTCCCCCTACATCCCCAAGTGCAAGTAGCAGGCAGGAGGCTTTCTGAAAGCTGTCCTGAGAACATGTAAAGTCACCAAGGGGACAGATTGGAGGAGTCATACTCTGAATTCTGATCAGTAGAGAGGTCTGCCCTCACCCTCCCACCCCCACCCCTGCAGAGCAGTCTACAGCAAGCATACTGTGCTGAAAAACATCTCCCGGAGCCAAGAACAGCAGGCCTTGGTCTGGAAGCTGACATACTTGCTAAGCACTCCTTAGAAGACCTGACTCTGGGAAGGAAGCCACCAGGGCAGGCTGAACTTGGAGGGGGAGGGCCCTCACATCTGGGTTTGGCTGCTCCTCTTCTGCTGGAAAAACTCAAAGCCATCCATCTAGAGACTCCCAGGAACATGTCCCCAGCTCCCAGCTCCCCGGTGAAGCTCAGGCTGCTGTGTTTGGTAATTCAGGAAAAGACAATGCTAAGGAAGTATGTGGAGTTGTGGTAGGGGGATGAGAAGAAAATGGCATGGCCCAGTGAACAGAGACCTTGTCTGGGGAGAATGGTCCCTGAGGCTAATAGGTGAGGCCTGGCTGGAGCCAGCTTCTTAGGTACCAGGGATGCATCAAAGGGCTACCCCCAGGAGGAACACTGCACTGGGCTCTGTTTTGTTGGGTTTTGGTTTGTTTTTCCTTTACTGACTCCCTGCTTCCCCCACCTTCCCTCCTGCCCATGCACATGCTCTGACCCTGGACAAAGAACTTCCCTTTAGTTTCCCAACCTGCAGGATGAGATAGGAGTTTCATAGTAATCTGCCCCCAAAGTCCAGGAAAATGCCCTAGGAGCTGCCAGCAATAGTGAAAGGCCCTTCCCCACCGCAGCCCCTGGGGCCCTGCATTGTAAATTTCGAGGTTCAGTCCTTGGAGGGAAGTCAGCCTTTAGGATAGTGGGCTAGAGAAGAACAAACCCTCGCTCACCAACACTACCAAGCTCCCAGGGTTCTCCAGCCTTGTGATGTGGCCTCCTCGGCGCCTCACCACGGTGCGTAGTTGAGGGGGCAAAAAACCCAGCTCTCTAGAAATAGTTGTCATCTGTTTTAACCTTTGTTACTTCAACTGTGAAATGAAAGCGGCCTGGGCTAGAGGATCAAAGTAGGACTGAAGGTGGAGGATTTGCCCCAGGGCAGAAAGCCAGTGAATGGCAGATGATTTGAATTAGAAAGTGCTGTGGGGGTGGGGGCAGGGATCCACTTGTAGGTTTCCCTTCAAACAATGGGAGGCGGTTTTGTGGGCAAGTGTGCTGGTGCGAGAGGGGGTGCACACTAACATGTTAATCCTTTGGGAGGCCTTACAGTGAAATGAAATTGGTAAAATCAGCTTTTAAGTTATTAAGTGGGTACTTTAGACATTTACTTCTCTGAGAATTGAGTGCAAATAGTAGTAGACACAGAGAAGCTATTTGTTGAATGAATTGAATGAACGAAACAATAATTGATTCAATGAATCCACAAACAGCATTAGGCATGGGGCTCTCATATCAAATCATCTGGGACTTGGGACAAATATTTAACTGGAAGGGGACCTGGTGATGGCCCAACCCAATTTCCCATTCACAGATCAGCTGTGCAGGGGCTACGTGATGTGAAACCTCCGGTACAAGGATCACATGCCTGAGAGGTAACCAACAGCAAAACATGAGGCCAGTGTCTGTTCTACTTCCCACCCTCTCCAAGGCAGAGCACATGAGCAAAACTTATGAAACTTGAGTTTTTCCACACTTACATTGGAAGTATCAGGACAGACGCCTAGGAGAGGATGGCAGTCCCATGCCCCAGGGAGCTGGTAGCATCCTGGCACTGAATGGATTTTCCTTGAAGCCCTCTCTTCATCTGGACTCACGGAAAGTATCAGTGAGGGTTTTGGAATCAGGTCTCTGAAAGTAGGTTCCAACAACACCCATTTAGAAGCTGTGTGACCTTGGGTAAGTTCTGGAGCCTCTCTGTGTCTCCAGTCTCTTATCTGAAAAATGGAGAAAAATGTTTCACTGAACTTGTGAGGATTGACTAATGTTATATCCTAGAACAGTCCCTGGACAGGAGAAATTCCTCAGTTAGTATTGGCTGCTAGTAGTCATCGTGCTCTGAACTTTCATAATAGGCTGTAGAAGGAGATCTCCGAGTCACCTGGGGAGCACGTTCAAAGTGCTGGGTTCCAGCTGCCAGAGAAGTTAGTTCAATGGGGGAAGGTTGAGTCCGAGCATCTGGATTAACAAACACCTGTGTCCAGGTGTCTAGATACCTTGTGTCTAGCACAAGCTTTATGTAAGCAGCTCTCTGATCACGCCTAAAAAGCTCAGGTTCACACCCCTGTACCTTGGATTGTTAGATCCCAGAAACAGAAGGGATGGTGGCTCTTAAATCCTGAGCAGTCACCATGGCCAGGTATTCTACAGGTCCACACCCCTTGTATAAAATCTTTGGAACCATCTGTAGTTTGAAACTCAAATCACTCTAGATTTTAGAAAGGTGATATGGTACATACAGCTCATGTTACCTAACTCCCCAGGAAGTACTGAGGTATCACCCTATAATCAAACACATCAATATTTCTACAGCAAAACATATGAGTAGTCACAATAAGAACTCCAAATAGTTTACATCAGTTCAGGTCAGATTTTGTTGCCAAGTGAGTTTACATGATGTCAGATTTTACTGCCAAATGAGTTATTTTAAATGCCTTAAGGTTTTAGAACATTCTAATTTTGGAGTGGTGGCTAGGGATTGTGATTCCATACTAAATACCTTGCTTGTATTTATCTCACTATTTCATAAAATCCCCAGGTGATTAATGCTATTATTGTTACCAATGCACAGATGAGAAAATGAAGACTCAGAGACGTGAAGCTACTTGGCAGAGATCAAATGGCTCATAAATGGTAACGCTGGCTTTAAGCCCAGGTGTGTCTGACGTCCAAACCTGCATGCTCAACTTTCACCCTATCCCACCTGCTCTGTTCTGTGCCACTGGTCACAGGAGAAAAGAGCTCCTTCCAGCACAGCTCCTTGGGATGCTACCTGGGTAGGGTAATGGGTTGTTAGAGAAGAAAAAAGAAGAAACGGAGGGAGGGAAGGAGGGAACATTTCTCTTCCTCTTTCCATCCTTTAACGAAATTAAAAAAATATAAACCTTCCTCTCCAACCCCTGACCCTGAGGAAATAGCTGAGAAACTGGAACCAAAATGGCTTAGAGAAAGAGGAAGGTCTTCCAGAAATGCTCCAATTCTTTTCCCCCGATTTCTACTTATTGACATTTGACTATTATCCCACTGCTGCCACCACATGTAAAGAAATAGATATTTTTAAATGGGCTTTGCTTTAAAAATATAAAACTCCCAAGCTTGTTACACAGCATCGTGCTTAGAAAGAGCCGTGGGCTTGAGGCCCATTTGGAGGTGGCTTCCAATCTCAGCTCTGCCGTTTACTGGTTATGGGAACTGAGAAAGTGTTCTCCTCTCTGAAGACCCTGCCTAGAGAAACTCCTTCTTCCCTTCTACCTCTCAGTCCAGATGAAAGCCTAGACCTGGAACTGGCCTTCTAGATCTTCAGACAGACAGCCCACAGGAGAGGGGTGATGTGTGCTCTGGGTAGAGGGACAGGGGTCCTCACACTTCTCCCTGGTAATTCACTCAAAGGCACCCTCTCATGGAAGTCCCCATTCTGTACCTCTCATCCCACGTCCCACAGTCAGGGGACAAGTCTTATCTCCTCACCTGGTGTCAGACCTCTGCAGAGCTGATGGGCCTTGTGAACACTTTTCTGCCTCAGCCTGTCAAGCAATCCCTCCTAATGAGCTCTCACTCTCCAGACTTTATGCCAGAAGCAGAAAGGCCTCCATTCATGCATGCAGTCACTCCCAAACCAACTATCGAGTACTCATTGTACACGAGGCATGCTAAGCATAAGCGTTCCTCCCCTTCCTCCTTCCTTTCTTCCTTTCCTCTTTCCTTCCCTTCCTTCCCTCCCTTCCTCTCTCTCTTTTTTTTCTCCTGCCTTTCTTTCCTCCTTCCTTCTTTTGTTCCCTCCTTGCTTCCTTTCTTCCCATCCTTCATTTTTTCCTTTCCTTCCTTTCTTTCTTTCTTCCTTCCCTTCCTCTTTCCATCCATTCCTCCTTCCTTTCTTCCCTCCTCCCTTCCTTAGGCATTTACTGAGCATCTTATATGTCCCAGGCAATGTACTGAGCACTCTGGATACAGTTGTCAATGACACAAAAAACAATCCCTGTCTTCATGAGGCTTAGATGTTACGTAAGTCGGGTATGAACACTGCCAGCCCACAGCTCACTACTGCTGGAGGAAGCTGTCTTAAAATGCAATGTGATATCTGGTATGAATGATGTAGCATAGGACTCTATGGAAAGATAGGCACTCAACCTGGTCATGAGGGTCATGAAAACTTCCTGGGGGAAGTGATATAGATATTAAAATCTGAAAGATGGGTAAGGATCATGGTCAAGAGCAGAGAAGGGTGCTTTGAGCAGAAGCAACATGTGCAACAGAAGAAAGCACATGGCTCATGTGGAGACCCAAGAGTAGCCCTCTGGGGCCAGGGCAGAAGGTTTGAGGTAGGGATTAATGGAGATGTGGGTGGAGAATTAGGAGGGGCACATCCTGCATGGCTTTTTCTTGACAGCAGTGGAGCACCACAGGCAGGTTCCAAGCAGGGGCATGAGAGAGAAACTGAGATGGCTATTATGCTTACCAGGCTTCACTATGGCACATTGGGAAAATGACTTCACACCCATGTTGGAATGGGAAAGGGGGACCTCCTGATGCCTCCCTAGACCCCTGATGCCCTTGGGAATGTTCTGCTTGAACTTGTGGTTCCAAAACCAGGCTGTAGGCTGCAAAGGGGGAGGTTGTGCCCGAAGCTGCGGTGTGTGTGTTCCTATAATCATTAAGACGAGTTCCTGAGCTGCTGGGTAGCTAACTCTAGTCGGTGTCAGGGTAATTAACCAAACTGCCTGAACTTTATTCACAGCCTGACAAGGTGCACTCTTGAGACTTGTCACTGTGGTTAGTCGGGGGGCGGGGGACTTGACATAAGGCTGATTAGGGAGTGTTTTACACAGCAAGAAGCTCTCTGATCTTCAGCTGAGCAGGACTACCCCCTTTCAGCTCATAGGAGAAATGCCTGTGAGGGTAGAGAATAAAGATTATCCAGTCCAACCCCCTCATTTTCAGATGAGAAAGCAGCCATTCTGAGTATGGCCACGGTTTTCCCAAGGCCAAGTGGAGAGTTTGTTCTGGAGGTGAGGTGGTATTACCACCAGCTCCTCATGGCTCCACTCCATCTTTTTTTTTATTGTCCAAAAAATGCTATTTCCTAACCAGCATTTCTTAAATTTAATGCGCATAGGAATTACCGGGGAGCTTGCAAAAATGCAGATTCTGATTCAGAGGGTCTGGGTAGGGCTGAGGTTCTACATCTCTAGCAAGCTCCCAGCTGATGCCAATGCTGCTGGTCTATGGACCATCTTATGCACAGCAAGGAGCTCAAAAGACCCTTTCCCAGAGGCCACCTTTAACTCCAGTGGAATTGGCATAAGTTGTCTTAGCGTGGGTCTCACTAACTGCAATTGGCCCTGAAACCTAAGACTCCTGAGATCAGAGCTGCTCTGATTAAAGGGTTCTCAGAGGTCGTACACTCCAGCTCCTGTGCATACCTGAATCCCCTTGTTCTGGTTGGGGCTCCTTTAGATTTCAATCAACTAACTTAGTTCCCTTGAATAAAACAGGGTCTAAAGCATCGCAGGAAAGCCAGGGCAAGAAATGCCATCTGCTCACTTGCTCCACTCCCCACCCTCTGAGGACCGACTTACTTATCAGGTTATTCATCCTCGCAAAAAAATTAAAGATAAAATAAAATAACTGCCACCCAGCTCCCCAAGGCTGTGTGAACTTCAAACCCCAGTGCCCATCATAGCTAGAAACTTCTCTTTTTCCCCCTTATTTCAACTTTCTGAAAGGGACAATTGGATGGATACAGTTGATCTGTTTGAGCTGCTTTTCTTCTCTGGGCCTCAGAAAGCCCTGCAACAAAATGGAAAGACTTGCCTAGGTGGTCTTTCAGGTATTCCAAAGTACTGATTCTCTATGCCTCTAAGGTGCTTTGCAGCCAAGTGCTTTAGAAAAAAATACCTTTACCCTGGTCCCTGGGAAAGACGTTTATACAAAGAGGTTGCATTTGGGGCTCTCCTCTGGTGAAATAACAACAAAATCTAGCCAAGAAAATGGGAAGTTTTAATATTTCATTTATGAGATTGATTCCATGATGCCATTGCCAAAGAGTGATTATCCCAACAAGAATATGAATAGTTACAATTCTCAAGGCCCAATTCTCAGGGAGGCTTTGTAGGCATTTGACTTGGAGTCAAAAGGATTGGGTTTCCACATCACCTCTGTGGGCAAGTCCTAAAGTCTCATTTCATATGGAGAAAACTGAGGTTTTTTCTTAGATCTGGTATTCAATGATTCCAATCTAATCATTATTTTATTTTAAAATTCTAAGTCCTTTCTTGACTGAGACTTGGAGTGAGGACAAAATGTTGCTACTCCTACAAACTCCCAGGCATATCTGTAGCTTGTACCTTATCAGGTTCCCCAGCTCCCAGTTGCCAAGGGACGTTTGAGTGCGTTACACAGGAAGTGTCATGGCACTCTCCAATGGGGGCTTGTTTTTCAGGTTGCACTTCAATAAGAAAAGCTTTTAAAAAAAAAAAAAAAAAGCCAAGAGAATTTATACCTCTTTTCTGTAACCCCTGCCCTCACGCTTCCACTGCAGCTCTTCATCTCCATTGCTGTAGCACAAAACAGAATGACATCCTATGGAAAGTACAGAGTTCCTAGAAAACAATGATACTGAGTTTTTAGCAGCCAAGGTCACCTAGGCATGACAGAAACTCTTAACACTTACGTTTTTGAAGTCAGAAGAGGATATTTGAGCTCAGACTGGGCTATGTGGGACCAGGTCACTGTGAGACACCTAAGGAGGATGCAGAGACGGCACCCTTCCTAGACAAATGCCAGGGACACCCTTCCTAGACAAATGCCCAGGCATGAATATGGGTGAAGTCTTCCCTGCAATTCCAGCAGCTTCCTGCCAACCCTTAGCCCACTCAAGCCTACCTGTGGACCACCTGTTATGGACTGAATGCTGGTGTCTTTCCAAAATTCATATGTTGAAACCTTACCACTCAGTGTAATGGGATTAGGAGGCAGGGCCTTTGGGCGGTAATTTGGTCATGAAGGTGCAGCCTGCATGAATAAAATCAGTGCCCTTATAAAAGGGACCCCATGTGAGGATACGACTAGAAGTTGGTTGTCTGCAACCAGGAAGAGGGCCCTCACCATAATCTGATGATGGCAGCATGCTGATCTCAGACTTCTAGCTCCAGGACTGTGAGAAATACATTTCTGCTATTTATAAGCCATCCAGTGTACAGCATGTTTGTTAAAATACCACCATGCTTCAGGGTTGCATCTCTTTGTGTCTATCTCAGCCCTGTTGGATCTAAGCTGCATTTTGCACCTGAGATTCTGGAGCCCAGGTCAGCAGCTGCCCCGCCCCGGGGTTATCTCCAGTAGTGCACAGGTGACACCTACATTGCATGTCCTTGGTCTTCACAATTCAACCAGGCATTGACTAGCAGTGGGAATGTGCTAAGGGAGCCATGCCAGGCAGGGTGTGCTTTTGTACAAACTGACTTAGCTTTTAAACAAAAACTGCTTTGGCCAGACATTTGTGTGCAAGCATCAGCTTACAGCAGGGAACAGCACTCTGTGGGCTCACGAAAAATATATGGAGGAGGCCAGATGGAGGTGTGCTGTGGCTGTGGCCTGCTGCATGGTGACAAAGGGCTGGAGGCTTTGAGTTTTGTTTGTTTTCCAAGTCCAGACCAGCAGTGGACGGGGAATCTGGAGGCCTGCTTCCTAGTCCCATGTCTGACACTCTGTTACCCAAGAACAAGGCTCCTGATGCCACAGGATCTCAATTTTCCTGTCTATGACACAGAGGGAGGTAGTGGATTACATGCTTTCTTGCCTCTGGCCTAAGCACGTTCCGATTATATGCCGAAGGAGGAGGCAAGACAAGATAAGAGGTCTCGCTTCAGCCGTTTCCTCCTTCAGGGTCTGGTCTGGGTCTCCTGATACCCAATACCAAGTGGTCCCCATCTACCCCTCCCCTGGTCCTGAAAGCTGGGGCTTTGTGGCAGGTAACACAACTTGCCTTGTGTTCTTCACTTGAGTGCTCTTGAGTTTCTGCTCCCCAGAAAGATCAGTTTCTTGCCAATGTCATCACTTTTAGCCAGCAGGGACCTATCAGCGGCTCCATCAGGCACTGGGGGCCCCAGCCCCCCTTGGCTTAAAGTCTGAGCCCTGGGAACACTGGGGAAACTTAATTCTCGAACACCTTCCACTCAAAGAGCCACTGTTCTGCAGAACCAGTGCTGGCCCCTGTATTTCAACAGCTTTCGGGTGGGTTTCCCACCCCAGACGTCGATAGGGCCTGAAACGCCTGTGAATGTATTGACCTGACTTCACCCGCAGGCTCAGTTTCAAAGGGTTGGCTGAGCTCTGAGCCCGCCCTCATTCCATCTGAGGCTCAGCTCCTGGAAACCTCAGGCTGGATCTCAGTTACTGGGAAGCCTTGCTCTGAATGTGGGTTTTCACTCAGTGTTTCCCGATGAGCCATTTCTTGTGGCAGGACGCCCACCTCTTAGGGGAAACAGCCTTCATTCTGGGAACTTCTTGCTTCATCTCTCCTTCTGTCTATGCCAGAGGTTGCTATGAAGGGGCATGCACTTAGCTGGCAGGAGAAACGGGGTGCAGCTGTGCCTGCCCTTCTTTCTCACTGCCACTGTGCCACCTTGGACGAGTCATTTCTCCTCTGTGGATGCCGGGTTCCCCCTGGGCTTATAGCAGTAGGTCTGCCTTTCTCATTGAGAGAAATAAAAGTGCTTTGTAAATAGGAAGCACTACGTAATGCTATTAGGGAATCCACTCAACAAGGAGTATTGGGGACTTTTTGCTATTTCCCTTCCTGTGACTGAGAAATTAGCAGGCACAGATTGTGAAAAACCAGCCGGCTCTTTGGAATTACAAATGTGCACACACCATCCCACTGAGCATCATTTTCAAAAGGCATATTAAGCAGCAGAGACCACAGGGGGGACCCATGTAAACAGGCCTCAGATCCTGGTGAAAAAGGCTCCCAGAAGCTGTCGTCTACTGAGCTGTTAGGGGCTGCTCCTGCTTTCTGCCCCCAACCCCGCAGCCCTGGCTGGTGAGAACTCATCTCCCAGGGAGAGGGTTCTGGTTCATGGTGAGGGGCAGGGTCCTGGTGCCATGCAGGGCTAGTGCTGCTCCAGGTCCACAGTGTGCCTTCAAGACCCAAATCCCCCAGGGCTTGAAGCTCTCCAGAACCTCACCCCCAGATACATCTCCCAATGTCATTGGCGGCACCCCATGTTTTTTCCTGTTACCCCACAGCAGGCCAGGGGGAATGTTGCCTGTACTGGACCAGTGAGGACGCTGAAGCCCCCTGAGTTGAATGAACTGGCTGAAGACGAGGCTCCCTGTTGTGGTGCTGGAATTTGACTTGGTACCCACTCCCAGCCCTTGCTGTTCCCTCCATGCTCCCTGCTCCCTGCAGATGCACAAATGAAGACCAAAGTCTTGAAAGAAGCTAGGGTCAAGCATCATTAAACCCAGGAGTCTTGTGCTGATACAAGGCAGGGTCTCTCCGGATGTTGAGGCATCATGGCTGTGTTGGGCGGAACCCCTGTTTGTCAGCAAAGGTTGTGGAAGCTCGTGCTCACTCCTAGGGGCCATGGTGATGCAGACAAGTGAGGTGCACTGTGTTTGCCTGAGCTGCTGCGGGCTGTGCTGGGCAGGCCACTCCTCCCTCCTGAGGTGACATCCCACATGACCAGCTTCACAAGGCAGCTTTCCTGAACATGGGTGAGGGGGTTCCGTGGGGGTGGGGACGCTGCCAGGGACTTCTAGGAAGCAGACAGCGTTCAGGGCTCAGCACCACCATCTCACTGCTGTGGAAGCAAGAAAAGGAGACTATAATTCAGCTCAGGGTGGCTAATGGACAGCTTCCCAGATAACAGACAGGAGGGGGAAGATTAATTCTGAAGCAGGAATAGATGTTATTTGGGAAGGGAAGGGCATTCAAGGCAGAGATGAGGTGAAAAACAGCATCGATCATCTACCAGCTACGAGTAGTTGAATCTGACTGCAGTAGAAAATAAAGGAAGCAGGGCCAGGGAGTTGGGGTGAGGGCGTGGATGAAGCTGAGGAGCAGGCAGAGGCCAGATTGTGGCAGTCCCTGTAAGCCGGGCTGAGAGTTTGAACTTGGTCCTTAAGGCAGGGAGGGGTAAGAAGAACTTTAAACAAGAAGTAGTGTGGCTAGAGGCGGGTTCTAGAAAGATCACTCTGTGGGCAGGCGGGAGATGTTCATCCCTATGCAGGCTCTGTGAGCCAGTCTTGGTCCTGTGAACCAGAGGTGTCCCTCTAATGAAGTGCTAATTGCAAACCAGTCAGTCACACTCTGGGATGCTCTGGCCCCAACACCCAGAGTTCAGCTCTGTTCCTGTGAGTGCGGGCGTCTACCAGGAAGTGGAGCTGGCCTGTCTTCTCGGAAGCAGCAGCAATTAAAATGCAACCCTGAGACATCAAGGAGTCAGCCAACTCTGTTTATTTTTATATACTGATAAAATCCTCAGAAAGGGAAGCCAAGCTTTTCAGAGCAGCCTGCTCATGCCCACCCAGCATGCTGAGGATCTGCAGGGAGCCCCTGCTCAGAAGGGCAGTCAGTGGCTGTGTCAGTGACCACCTCAGAGGGTAAATATGAGCTGGTCTGAGGAAGTGGGCACATGGGTCTGAGGGAGTTCTGAACATGACTGCAAAGCCCAGGGTCCCCAGAGCTGCAGCTGTAGCCAGATTCAACTCAGCCAGCACAACACAGAGCACCTAGTGTGTGCAGAGATCTTTTGACAGACTTGCTGCACAGTCGAGCAGCCATCAGGGAGGGGAAGGGCCATTCTACTGCACATGCTGTTTGGATGGAAAAAGCAGCTGAACTTCTCACTGTGGGTCAAGCTGGGCCTCTCTACATGCATTTTATAATAAATTCGGCCCCTGGAATTCCCACTGGAGGAACCGAAACTTCAGATCCCAATCCCCCCTTACCCATTTCTTGTAGGAACAGAAAGTCTAAATAGTTTAGGATGCCCAGGCATGGGAGGCAGCCTCTTAGTGGCCCCCAGGACCCCTGCCTTTTAGCATTCAGCCCCGGATCTGTACCACAGTTGGTTTGTGTGACTGATTGCGTCCAGCAGAAGTGTGGCACTCCAAGGGTGGGGTATAAAAGACATTGGTGTCTTGGTCATGCTTGCTGTCTTGGGCCATTTGTTCTGGAGAAGCACACTGCCAGGTCAGAAGCATGATGGAGAGCCCACATCATGCAGAACAGGCGCCTTCTGCCAATAGCCACCAAGTGAACTAGGATGTATGGTGCCCCAGCCCCATTAAGATTTGGATGCCTGCAGCCTCAGACAACATCTTGACTGCAACTTCATGAGAGAGCCTGACCCAGAACCACCCAGTAAGACCCCTCCCAGATTTCAGACTCTGACCTTAAACTTTTTCTGACCTTAAAACTGTTGTTCTAAGCTGCTAAGTTTTGGGGTAATTTGTTACACAGCCATGGGTGACTGATACACCATGGGAGACATTTTACTATCTAGAACATGGGTTTACAGAGATGGACATGGGCCTGGATCCACACCAACCTTGTGATCTTGGGCAAGTTACTCCACCTCAGTGACTTAATCTTCTCATTCCAAAAAGGGGGTAGTAACAGTGGCAACCTCATTTGTTGTCGTGATGGTGAGGCCAGTGAATGGTGCATTAGTTCTGGTCCCAGCTCATACTAAGTGTTCAATAAACAGGACTGAGCATCAACACCATTTTTTCAGCCTTTCCTTCCAGCTATAATAAACTTCTTACAGATCTGCAAACGTATGACTCACACCTTTTCCTAGCTCTGGGCTTTGCTGCCTGCCCCTGTGCAGCTGCTTCTGCTGGAGATCTTTCTCCCATCTCTCCACCTGTCACCCTCACCCATCTGGGTTGCTCAGGTGCCTGTTTGCTCTGGGAACAAGTTCCTGTAGACAGAGATGATCATTCCTTCTGGGCTCCCACTGTGCAGTGAAGATTGTCCTGGTGTTTCTTAATTATGTTTTATTGCCATTTTTCTGGGGTTCTTTGTGTCTTCAGGGGCATGCAGATAGTAGGCATTCAGAAGAAGTGAGTTGCACCAAGGCTCTGCTGGATTTATACAAGAACATCCTGCAAGGAGGAAGGCCAGCAATGCTGCTGACCAGCCATTCACTGGCAGCCTCTGGCAGCTGTATATAGTCAAATCCTCATTTGAGTTGTATATTTCTTTCACTCTTTTGTGTTTCCTTTTGCCACCACAGGCAGCTCTTACTATTTTATTTAGTTCCTCCTTGAAGCATGTCTTTTGACTTTTATTTTATCCCTTTCATAATTTCATCTTATTTTTTAAATAGAAAGTGTCTGTATACTTGAGACTATAAATGTACACATTAATTAAAGGAGTTGACATAACTTTATTCCTTTAACTGTATTTCCTTTAATCTGGTCCTGGTTGATCTCTTCAC
The DNA here is from genome assembly GCF_000001405.40 of Homo sapiens. NCBI lineage: Eukaryota > Metazoa > Chordata > Mammalia > Primates > Hominidae > Homo > Homo sapiens. The sequence continues at coordinate 78,539,906 of NC_000010.11, read as the reverse complement.
TCTGAAGTCCATAAGCATTGATAAAGTGGAGACTCTTATCCTGTACTTCCGCTCCAATACAGAGAATACTGGGCAATGGGGCCACATCACATGGTTTTTTAACTTCAAGACAACTCTGCTTCTAAGAGGGGAAGGAAGCCCCAGCACCAACACGCATAACCTCAAATACACCCCAGTCTCTGTGTTCCACGAGGCATCTAATTCGTGTTCCATAGCAAACAGGAATGCCAGGAATTACCCAACTTGGACTTTAGCCTAGGCACCACCTCTAACTCACTGGGGACACAAAACATATCACCCAGCCCTCAGGACCCTCAGCTTCTTGGTGGATATAATAGGGACAATGACACCCTCAGGGGATTCATTTGCCCGGTAATTCTTGGGTACAGACTCTAAGCCACGCTCTTTGCTGGGTCCAGTGTCTGCCTAGGAAGAAGCTGTTCCCTGCTCTACAGGGGACACTCAGCCAAGAGAGGAGCAAGGTCAACATTCAGATCCTGGTGACTGCATGGACTGAGAGATACAGAGGGCATGGGAGAACAGGGAAGAAGGGTGGCCAGGCAAGGCTGGGAGCACTCAGGGAAGGCTGCAGGAGGCGGCACCAGAGGTGATGGAAGTCTTAAAGGTGAGGAAGGCATGACGGAGGCAACCCAGGCATGGGGCTGAGAAGCAGCAGTGCAGATTCCTGTGTAGGTAGGCACCTGTGCACATGGCACAGCTAGGGGATGAGACATCTGGCAGTTTGGCATTCCAGGTACAGAAAGCATGGAGCAGGAACAGGGAGGGTGGGTTGAAAGGGGAGCTGGAGAGCCTGGCATAAGCCAGGACATGGAGGAGAAATACAACACGTCTGAAAGCGCTTTGTAAACTCTGAAGACCTTGCACAAATGTGAGGGCCATCCATTGTTTCAGGACACTTAGCTTTCCAGCTGCCATAGCCCATCCTTACAAAAAACATGCTGAAACCAGCGTCTTTTTTTTTTTTTCTTAAATGATCCTCCTTTCTACAGACTTGCAGAGTACAATCAAGTATGTGAGTGTTCACGTGTTGTCATATAATCAAATGATTGGTGATTTTCTTTTTAATTTCCCTTTCTTTACCCAGTTGTGTTTCTACTGATTTCTCATTTCAGGAACATAAACGCGGTGTCTCCGTGTTTTTAGGAATAAATTGGGAAGTGCTCACTTAATTTCACCATCCAAGAAACAAAATCACTTCTCCCTCCATGCAATCCTGCAATCCAATCACCTGCGGCAGGAGATGAGGAAGGAAATTACTCTGCTTTTCTTTTGCTTTTTTCCTAACTAGTGATATTTGAGAAAATTAAGTATGTTTTATTTTACACTCAGGACCCAGATCCTCAGACATACTTGGGGACTGAAACAGGAGAATGCCAGTTGGTTACAGAAGCAAATATTTCATTGCATCCTTCCCCAGCCCCTATGAATGTCTTCATAAATGAAATAATAGATTTTGTTTTGACACTACCTTAAATATTTCCACTGAGGCAAGACTCAGAGCATTGTAAATAGTCCCTGTTTATCACACCTGTGGAAATTTCACTTTTCTGGGTAGGACTGTGGAGCTGGTGTTCTGGGCTTAGGATTCCAGTACCCTTGGCCTGGGCCCTGTCTTTGCCCATGATATGACCTTGGGCATGGACTCCCAGCTTGAATGGGGGCAGCTGTAGAGTGATAGAAAGGGCATTGGGCATGGAAGCAAATAGAACAGATTTGAACTATAACTCTGCTGTTTACTAGCTATGTGACTTCAGGCAATTTACTTAAATTTTCTGAGCTTTGGTTTTCTCATTTTGTTAAATGGGGATAATAGTGCCCATCTTGCTGGACTATGGTAGAAAGTTTAAAAATGAAATGGCATATATAAGGTGCTGAGATGGTGCCCAGTATCTGGTGCTGCTATGTACAGTTGGATGGTTTCTGCACTGAACAAAGATGCCAGCCAAGGGGCATATGGAGCTGATACCCGGCCTTGCTTTTCTAACTTGCTGGTGTGCCATACAGGACACTTAAAAAAAAACCATCTGCCCAGGGGAGAATATTTGGAAGAACCATCCTGCAGAGATGGAGTCTCTTTGGAATTCACATGCATGTGAATTGCTGGGAGAGGAGACCCTGAGCACGAGGAGATAAATCTTCACTCCACTCCATTGGATTTGACTCCACCATCCTCCTGCAAAAAGCCATATGGCCTCAGCTACAAATCTGTTCAAAAGTAGAGATGGCACCATGTCCTGAAGCAGCACATTCATCTCCACATGACTCTGTGAAAAGTATTGTTTTATGTTTGAGCTGAAATCTTCCTTTATTCAACTTCTCCTTGGTTATCTATGGACTCTTCGGGGCCCTCATGAACAAGTGAGTCAGTAAAAACCAAGTGCTCATTGGCTAATTTGTTAAATAGCATATTGCTTAGGTTAGGCTAGGTTGCTCTGCTGCAAGAAAAAAAGCTCTGTGACTTAGCACAGCAAAAATATGTAATGTGAGTTCACTACAAGTAGCAGAGAGGGGCACTTATGCAGGCCCCAAACCCACGAAGACTTCACTATGTGGAACACTGTCATCATCGGTCCTGGCAGTGAGACAGAGAGAGGCTAGAGAATCCAATATCTGCTTTTCCATGCAGCAGAAGAACGGATGCATTTCACTCTGGTTGACATGTCACTGGCCAGTCACATGACCCTGCCTATGTATAAGAGGTCTGGGGAATGTGGAGGAGCAAATGGATAGTCCAGTGAACATCGCTATCTCTGCAACTTTCATAACAGTGGACTGATTCAGTTAGGACCGTGAGCAGGGTGCTGGCCTTCAGTATACTGGGTAGCTGTGGGCAAGCCCCTTTCCATTGCCAGGGCTCATTTTGCTCATGGGGAAAATGAAAATATGAATTACCACGCTGACTACAGATATGGAATGGGACTTGGGTGTTCCACAGGCCCTAGCTCTCTAACACTTGCCTCCGTGGGCTTGAGCCATTTGAAAACACAGCTGGGAAAGACCCCAAAGCATACAGGGGCATGTGAGAATGAGAAATCTGTCCAAGAAGCCAGAGCCCCTTTTCAAATGTTTGGCTCTAGAGCCCTCCAAAGCAAATTATGAGTATGGAGAAAGAAGAGGGTCTTTCCGCTCCTATTTCACCAGACCCTGTGATGCCCACAGCGTGGTCCCACTTTTAATAGTGCCTGGGGTGGGTGGAAGGGCCTGGTCCGTGGCCACAGAGAGAACTTTTGTCTCCAGGGGTGTCCAACCGGCCTCTATCCTGAGGATTACCGTAACTTTTTAATTAAGGCAAAGTTTGCAGGGAGTTTGGCCTTTTGATGTGGCAGCTGTAGCTGGAAAACAGGCCTGCACTGCAGACTTTACTGCCTGCCGATGGCCCAGGAGCTGCCACCCACATCTCAGAGCCCACACCCCATAAACAGCCCAGATCATGTGTCTTTAGGGCAGGGTGCATGACAGGGGTCGGGACCACCATGATGTGAGAAGACTGCTTTTGCTGATAGTCTCACAGGGCCTGGACCACCCCAGGTCCCCCACAAAATGGGGGTAGGGGTTTGAGATAGCAGAAGAGTGAATAAGGTGATCTTCGATACACATGGCAAAGTTGTCAGTCTTGGCCTCGGCCTCAGTGTCCTACAACACCCAGGCAAGAATGGAGTGGGGAGGGGCATGGAGCCAGGAAGTTCCTGCAGCGTCTTCACACCAGAGTGCATGTGTCTGCTTCCTCCGGACAGGGGGAAGGACAGGGACCTGCCTCACTCACCTTGGTATCCCAGAGTCCTACATAGAGTAGGCCAGCCCTTTAGATGCTGACAGAACTGAAAACTGTCCCTCTGGGGACAGTTACAAAGTGCACTTTGAGCATGTCGCTTTATTTGTATTCGATATCTATTTATTGAGCCTCTGCTATGTACCAGGTATGTGTCCCAGACACAGAGGATTCAGCAGTAAATAGCAACCCCTGCCCACAGACTGGCTATTCTGGCTTAGGATGTTTATGACACCACTGAAGTTTATGACATTTATGGCACCTACCATGATTCATCCAAGTCACACAGATAATTTAGGGCAAAACTGAGATAAGAACTTGAGCTTACTGATTCCCATGAGGGCAGCACTTTTCAAACTTTCTTACTGAAAAACCCCTAAAAGAGTGTCTGGGGGCAGGGCCCAAAGCAGTCAGATGCAGGTGTGCCATTACTTTGACATTTCAACGCTTTACTCAAAAAATTTATACAAATGTTGAATTCCATACTATATTATATCCATAGTTGTTTAACTATAAATAGTGTAAGTTAATAAATATATCTGTAAAAAAAGTTTTCACCTCATTTGTCCTGCATCTCTGTATTTCTCTTGGCACACAGACACATACTCAGCGCGAGAAGCACATTGTGAGCTCACGTGGACTCTCCTAAATTTCCACCAGGTCTTATGTGCTGGCTTCTCTTTGCTGATGTTCTCAAACGAGTTACAGCATACATAAAGTTAAAAACAAATGACAAACTAGGAAAGAATATTTGCAAATGATATGTCCTTGATCCCTCAAATACATATCCTACAGATCAATGAGGAAGAAACAAGACCAACAGTGCAATACAGTTGACAGCCATTTATATGAAAGGATATACCAGTGGCTGTTAAATATATGAAACTCTGCTTCACCTAATTCATAATAAGATAAATGCACATTTAAATCATGCTGAGATGCTCATTTTTACCTATAGGGTTGGCAAAAATCTCAATGTTGGTTATCACATGGTGTTAGGGAAGTGTACAGAAACAGTAGAGCTCATTGATTGCCACTGCTCCAGGTACAAAGTGGCACAGGCCCTATGGAGGGCAATTTGGCAATATTATAGAGAAAGCACATTTATAAACAAGGTGCTTTTATTAGGTCAACCCCTTTGTTTTAAGTGTCATTTATATATTCAGCACTGGCCAGAAGCTCTGTGGGAATAATGAGGCACTTGCACAGGGCCTGCCCCCAAGGAGCTTGTGACCCTGCCTAGTGGCACTGGAGACAGGACATAGTAAAAATAATGATATTTTATATCTCTCACTTATCAAGAACTTTCAAATGTAATAGGTCATTGAGCATCACAGGCAACCCTGCAAGGTAAGTATTTTTATTTCCATTTTCCAGTCCAGAAAGCTGAAGCAGAGCATAATTTGCCCAAGGTCACACATAAAGTAACCCCAGAGCCAGATGAAGAAACAGGGATTTCCATGCACTTTCTGCTGAGGCCAAGCAGCCTGCTCAGGGGAGAGCGTGGCTGCTAGCAGCACCAGACTGCATGCAAGACATCCAGAGAGAGTTCTCGGGAGTGGGAACCAGCGCAGGTGCAGGTCACTGGAGTCTAGTCCGGAGGCCGAGATGGCCTGTGCATCACTCTTACCTGGGTTCAACGGTTGGTGCTATTACTTGCTACCTGTGTGACCCTGGATGAGCAGCAAAACTCCTCTGAGCCCTAGGCTGTTTATGTATAAAGTACAGGCAATAATAAGGTTTTTGTGGGGATTAACAAAGATATTAATAGTATCTTTAAAGTACTTAGCCTATTGCCTGCTACATGGTTTGCACTCAGTAAATAGTGGTGATGAAGTAAGAAGAAGAGGAGGAGACAGAGGAGGAGGAGGGGGAACAGGGGGAGAAGGAGCAGAAGCTGGGGGTGGTGATTGTCAGCTTCATGGGAGAGGGGAGGCCTGAGCCTTGAAGGATGGGTGGAATTCACACTAGCATGCACATGTGTGTGTTTGTGTATTAGGAAAAAGGCTCTTCTCTGAATTGGGTCCTTGATGTAGCTCAAACCCGATGCAAAAGTGAAACCCATCAGACAGCAGTGTTTCTGGGAAGGTGGTGGTGGGTTCATAGTCTGGCGGAGGAGCCACCATGTTTCAGACCTGCAGGACTGAGGCACTCAGAGCTGGTCGAGCCAGACCTCTGCTTTCCACCAAGTGGGACTGTGACACACTGGAGGTAGCCCAGGCCACCAAGGGTGCAGTGGAGGGGGAGGGAGTGGCTCACACAGAGGGAGCAGCGTCCTTGCCCCAGCCAGATCACAGTGCACCTCTTTTCTCTCGGAGCCCAACAGTTGAGCTATTTAGAGGGAAAATCTGATTCATGTTGGGAGAAAAGGGAAAATACCTTTCCTCCTAACTTCCCATAGAGGGTTAAGCACTAATGGAATTCGAGGTTTCTGGTCAAGCCCCTAGAATCTCACTTAGCCCCTGAACCTCCATCTAGAGGTGAACTTTTAATTCCCAGAGTGATCCCAGAAAGCTCTTTTCCCTCCTCCTCTCAGCTGCCAAAATGACTCCCCAAGTCTGCCCTCCATATAAAAACACAATAAAACCTTATACAATCAGGAAAGTATTCAAGCCTCATAATAAATAATTGCCATGTGACTGGTGGATTGGATCTCCTGCACACCCTCAGTGGGCCTTTTTCTTTAACAGAACAAATAAAAGGAACAGATGCAGGGACTCTCCTGCCAACACCACCATGGCCTCTCCTCGGGGCCTGGAGGGTCACGGGGGAGCAGCCTCCCCACACTGGACACATGGGAACAGCAGGACAACACCCACCACAGAATGCTGCTCTAGAGACACTGGAACATCTTTGGCAATAGCAGCACTTTCTTCCCGGGTCCTTGTGGCTGTCTTCCTCTTTTGCTGCTAAGGGGGTGAGTCCACAGTAAGAAGAATCACCATGCTCCAAGTGGAATCCCGGCATTCCATGACCGGCTGACCAACCTCATCAGCTCTCCCATGCCCCCAGCACACATTCTCCGATGGCACTACCCCCTTTGCTATCTTTCATCTCACTCCCATTTCTCCCGCTCCTTTTTTTTTTCTGCTTCTCTCTCTCTATCTCTCTCTCCCCCTCCCTCATTAGACTGTAAGCTCTTCACAGGCAAGGCGAGCCCCTGATGAGGCTCGGTGTTCTGGCACAACTCCTTGATACCAGAGAAAGCCATTAAATGTCTGTCAGATTAAAACATGAACTGGAAAACACAGTTTGTTGAAAAACAGGAAATGAAAGGCCACCCTACCAAGTGCCTGTATGTTCTCTTCAAGATTGATCCTAGCACATTTTGCCACTTCGGGTGTCTCTGCTTCAATTCTCCAAGTGTTTCCTGACAATCTCTGCCCTGCCTGGCTCCTCTGAGTAGAGTCATGTGACACAGAGCCCAAGGCCTTTCCTATGCCATGCTAATAGCAGGGACCTGTATTGGTTCTGCACAGCCAGCACCCAGCCCCCTTCTGATCTGAGCACCTCTGGCTCCTCTCTGGGGCCAGCCCCCTACCCCTGGCATGCAGATCTGAAGGTTCCCTGACCTCTCCAGCACCCAAGCCTCAACCTAGCCAATCCCAGGATTCTCCCAAGAAATTCACATCCCTTTGCTAATGGCAAATAGACAGAAACTGGCTGACCTGGCAGTGGCACTTGGAGGAGATTGCCCTTAGGTCTCTGCACACTCCACACTGGAGCTGCCCCTCTCTTGCTCTCTGAGAGGTCAGCCACATCAGTTTTTCCCTCTATTCTCTCCTTCTAATAAGTTCCCTTTGATACTTAAGTTGATTGGAGCTGGATGCTTAGAATCCAAACATCCTAAGTTCAGATTTCACCTTGGGATTTCACCCTAAGTTCAGTTCACCTTGACACTACCGGCATTTTCACTGGATAGTCCTTTGCTGTGGGTATCTCATTGGTAACCAGCGTGGCAGATGGCCAGTGGATGCTGGGTTTCCTTGATGCCTTGATGCAGCCAGCACTCCTATGCCAAGGTTTCTCAGCCTTCGCACTATCAATATTTTGGACTACATAATTCTTTGCTGTGGGCACTGTCCTGTGCATTGTAGGATGTTTATCAGTATCCCTGCCCTCTATCTGCTAGATCAAGGGTCCCCAACCCCTGGGGTTGCAGACTGGTACTGATCCATGGCCTGTTAGGAACTGGGCTGGACAGCAGGAGGTGAGCAGCAGGAGAGCACTACCGCTTGAGCTCCACCTCCCGTCAGATCAGTGGTGGCATTAGATTCTCATAGGAAAGCAAATCCTATTGTGAACTGTGCATGTGAGGGATCCACGTTGCAAGTGCCTTATGAGAATCTAATGCCTGATGATCTGAGGTGGAACAGTTTCATCCTGAAACCATCCCTCCAACCCTGACCCCATGGAAAAATTGTCTTCTACAAAACCTGGCTCTGGTGCCAAAAAGATTGGGGACTGCTGCACTAGATGACAGCTGCATCCCCTACTTGTGAAAATGTCTCCACACACAGCAAAACTGTCCCCAGGGAGGTAAAACCACTACCATAGACTGATTAAATGGTTGAAAACCAGCATCCCTAAATGGACTTGGTGGCTGAGTGCACATCACTTGGTGTAAGGCGTTGAGTCAGCAGTTGGGGGACCTGGGGCCACCTTGCCTGGAGCTTTCCTTCATTTTGCCCTCCCCACTTGCTCCACCTTCCTCCCAGGACGAAACCTGAGCCAGAGTGGGGACAAGCTGGGAGAAATCCAAAGGACTGCACAACAATGACATTGGAAGTTCCATTACCACGTCCCAGCAAGTCCTTACTTGTCAAAGAAGTTAAAACCTGCTTCTTGGCCAGCTGGCTGAACTTGCTGATAACTAAGGCAAGTGAATAAATACCCAGACCAGTGGAGTCTGTCTGAAGTATCAACATTTCACTTATCATATTGGGTGGCATTCAACAGACAACAGAGAAATTGTTCTTGCAAAGACAAACCTGTCTTTCTTCCATCAAGTGCTCTTTCTGCCATAATGACCAGCATGGCGGAGTGGGAGGAGAAACAAGCTGAAATTATAAACCTCGGAGATACGGAGCTCAGAGGCTGCCCTTTCAGACAAAGCAAAGCTCCGACCCTTTCTCACACTTCAAATGGAAGCCCCTTTGAGCCTGGATAAGATGCCAGTGGACGCTTTGTTCTTCCCTTCTCAGGCCCCGGTTGCTCACCTTGGAACTTTCTGAGGCCACTTAGGTGCAGGTCCACCAAGGACATCTGGCCGGTCCAGTTCCAAATAGGTAACTCTTAAAATCCTGACCTTTGCCCTCTGTGCTTTACCATCTGTCAGGTAGAGGGAGGGAGGGCACTGAGTGTAGCCTGGGAGTCAGGACACTGAAGATGGGGTCCCAGATCTATCACTAACAGCCACAGCTTGGTAACACCTTTCCCCTCCCCGGGCACCTGTTTCTCCATTTACAAACCAGTGTTGGAATAAATCAGTGAGTCTCAAAATTTATTTTGGTTTCTTACGATTACTCTGAACCTTCCCATGGAGTATGTGCACTTGGGCACACTCCCATGGATGCATAATTTCATAAAACATATGAAGATGCCCGGAGCCTCTCACAGCCATGCAGTCCAGGGTAAGGCCATTGGACCAAATGTCCTTGAAGAGCCGCCGCTTTCTTGACCCAACTTTGGTAGCTCAAGCCCATCAGTTTAGCTTGTGTGATGGCGGACAGGACATGAATTTTGAAATCAAACACATCTGGTTTGTGATCCCAGCTCCTTCTCTTATTAGCTCTGTGATACTAAGTTTTCTAACCTTCCCAATCCTCATTTGCTTTGCTTATAGAACAGTGAAATAATACCCCTGCAGTTCGCTCTAAGGATTAAATTACGTAAAGTGTGTGACCACCACACACCTAGAGAATTCTTCATTCATTTCTGCTTTCCTACCCTTTCCTCCTCCGCCTTGTCCTTTCATTGGTGTGAGGCTCGTATTAAAACAGGAACAGAAAAGCAGTTAGTACATCAGATTATTTTGATGTCTGGGCAGGTCCTGGGGAAGGTATGATTATGTATCTACTGTTCACAGCAATACACACACACACACACACACAAAAAAAAAAAAAAACGTGACTCTATATATACATATGGAAGGTATGATTATGTATCTACTGTTCACAGCAATACACACACATATATATACAAAACATGATATATACATATACACACATACACTAAACGTGACATCCCAAGACATAAATTTACAGTTTAGGAAATGGCTCTTTACAAGCTGTGTGGCTGTGTTTAATGGGCCTACCCTCTCTGAGCCACATCTATAAATGGGGATGATAATGCCTCCCTAACAACCACCCACTCAGAATTCCCTCTGGATACCAGACACTGGGCTGAGCATTTACATATCACTTTACATCATTAATGGCAAGTCTATTGTGAGGATGGCATGAAATAACCTACTTGGAAGGGTTTTATAAACAGTGAAGCATGAGGCAGATATTTCATTTTCCCTATTATTAGTAGGTCTCAAGTGCTTGTTTTCCATTGTGAAAACAGGAGGGACTTTTCCAATCAGAAGGGCAAGTGTGTGTGAATGAGATGTGCCAATGAATGATGGTGAGTCAAGGGCTGTTTCAAAATTAAAAGGTGAGTGCCGGCTGGCAGCTTCTTTCCTGGAGCTTCGGTGAGACATACAAAGAGGACAGAACACAATATAATTTCTCTTCCTGTATGTTTCACAGAACATACAACTCTCCTTGCTGAAAGTCTAATTTACCCAATTGTCATTTAGCACTCAACTGACTGGATGCTGCAGCACAATAGCCCAAATCCTGGATGAAATGATACATCTAGTAATAAAATATCTAAATGATGGATAAACATGGTTTAGGGAGGCTTTGGTAGGTAAGGCCGCCTCAGCCAGTCTAAAAAATCCCCATGCTTTGGAAACTCTCACCAAGACACCTACTTCCAGCACGTAGACCTTTTTGTCTTTATTGAGCTGAACTGCCAACTCCAACGTGTGCAAATACAGATTTAACAGGCAAACGTGGAGCCAACTCCAGGACTGTAAGTGTTTGAAACGGCAGATCTGTTTGATGAGCAAATAATGCGCGATCAATAAAGACTTGTCGAAATGAAACGAAAGGAGAGCAGCTGTTTGCTGAATCTACTCTGGTATAGATGGTACGCAGACCAAACAACAAGGAAATGCAGTGCAGGGGTGTCAGGTCCGAGCAGTGTGTGTTAGAAAGAGAATGCTGGAATTCTTGACTAACGTGAACTTACCTGGGCTGAGAGAAGGGCAGGCTGAATGCAAAGGGGGCCCTGCTTGGAGTCACCCCGTGACTTCCTGCCAAGGAAAGAAAGAATAATCAGGAGCTGACTGGAGGACTAAGCCAGGTTTGCAAAAATTAACATCTTGATTCATAATAGCCAAAAGGTGGAAACAACACAAATATTCATAAATGAATGAATAACATGTGGTATATTCATTCAATTTGACTACTGTGGGTACCTCACATAGGTAGAATCATATAAGATATGGCTTTCTGTGACTGGTTTATTTCACTTAGCCTGATGTCTTCAAGGTTCATCCATGAGGAATTTCCTTCCGTTTTATTTTTCTTTTCTTTGGTTTTTTTTTTTTTTTTTTTTTTTTTTTTTTGAGATAGGGCCTTGCTCTGTTGCCCAGGCCTTAAAAGGAAGGACATTCTGCCTAGAGTGGCTCAGGCCTGTAATCTCAGCACTTTGTGAGGCTAAGGCAGGAGGTTCACTTGAGGCACAAGGTTTAAGACCACCTTGGGCAACATAGTGAGACCTTGTCTCAAAAAATTAAATAAAAAAGTAGCCGGGAGTGGTGTTGTGTACCTGTAGTCCCAGCTACTTGGGAGGCTGAGGAGAGAGGATCTCTTGAGCCCAGGAGTTTGAGGCTGCAGTGAGCCATGATTATGCCACTGTACTTCAGTCTGGGCAACAGAGCAAGACCCCATCTCAAAAAAATAAAAAAAAGAAAGAAAGAAAAGAAAAGAAAGAAAAGGAAAGAAAGGGAAAACAGAAGAAAATTCCTCATGGATGAACCTTGAAGACATCAGGCTAAGTGAAATAAACCAGTCATAGAAAGCCATATCTTATATGATTCTATGTATGTGAGGTACCCAGAGTAGTCAAATTCATAAAGATAGCAAACAGAATGGTGGTTACCAGGGGCTGGGGAGAGGGGAGAAGGAAGAGTTATTCTTTAATGGGTTCAGAGTTTCTGATTAGGAAGACAAAAAAATATTCTGGAGACAGACAGTGGTGATGTTTACATAACAATGTGAATTTACTTAATGCCACTGAATTGTACACTCAAAACTGGTTAAAATGGTAAGTTTCATGTTATACATATCCTACCACAATAAAAAATAATGCCCTATAGTATTTTTCCATACCGACTTAGATTTGAGTTGTCAAGTGTCAACCTGTACCATCAGATGGTGAATACGTCAGTGCCAAGGATTGAATCTGATTTACCTAGCATCCCCGACTGTGTCCAACACAGTGCTTCTCAAAGCATGGTCCGTGCACTTCCGAGGGTCCCCCCAGACCCTTTCAAGAAGTCCACGAGGTGAAAGACTCTCCACAGTGTTACTGAGATGCGATTTGCTGCTGGCTCTGGTGGTGGTGCTGCAATGCATTGACGATGCAAGGACAGTGGCCGCAGTAAATTGCTGGTGCCTCAGCAAGAATCAAAGCAGCGGGCCTAGACTGGACTGGTAGTCATCATACTCTTTTGCACTCAGTCTTTAAGAAGGTACTTAACAATGTCCTTGATGAAGCAGAGCAACATATTAAATTAATTAAGTCTCAACCCGTGGGTAGACAGCTTTTTAATATTTTGTGTAACAAAATAAGGAGTCTGTGTCTAGCACTTCTGCTCCTCCTGCAGTACAATGATTACCTCAAAAAAAGGTCCCTGCGAGTGTCATGCTAAAATAGCCACTTTTTTCCATGGGACATCATTTATTTATTTAGAGACGGGGTCTTACTCACTCTATCACCCAGGTTAGAGTGCGAGTGCAGTACTGCGATCTTGGCTCACTGCAATCTCTGCCTCCCAGATTCAAGCGATTCTCCTGCCTCAGCCTCCTGAGTAGCTGGGATTACAGGCATGTACCACCATGCCCGGCTAATTTTTGTATCTTTAGTAGAGACAGGGTTTTACCATGTTGGCCAGGCTGGTCTCCAACTCCTGACCTCAAGTGATCTGCCCACCTTGGCCTCTCAAAGTGCTGGGGTTACAGGTGTGAGCCACCATGCCCAGGTGGGACATCATTTTTACTTGAAAACATGACTGATAGGCAAATTAAGATTACTCTGATTATTCAGTATCTGGTCGATGACCCTTTCTCAAAATCAAATGTAGGGAGTCTCTCGCTTCAAGAAAAACAACCATCATATGGTTGCCAAAGCTAAAATTTAAGTGTCCCAAAGAAACTTAACGTTTTGGACAACTCATATTCAACAACATGAGCTTGAGTGTTTCCCAATACTTACAGGATTTTCTGATGAGATCAGGGGTAATATAAATTAATTTTATTTCTTGGATGTTGTATAATTAAATGGGCCAACATTTCAAAACATCTCTGGCTAGTGAGCCAATATTTTCTAAATGACCAATGCATCATACTCCAAAATTGTGCATGGGTAAAAGGTCCATTTAAAGTACAAGATAGAAACATGGAATTTAATGTAAATCAGGTACCAAAAGTTCATTGATATAGTTTCAGATTTCTTATCACAACTAAACTAAGAGACTACCACATGTTGAGTTTTAGTGTAGTACCAAAAGAGAATAGCCACAGTTATCTGAAAAGGCAATACTCCTCTCTTTTCCAACTACAAATCTGAATGAGTCAGGATTCTTTCCACAAACTTCAACCAAAACAACATTTTGCAACAGATTGGATGCAGAAGCAGACATAAAAATTTAGCTGTCTTTTATTAAGCTAGATGCTAAAGAGATTTGCAAAAGGGTCAATACCATCTTTCTCATTTTTTTGTTTTGAAAAATAGTTATTTTGAATAAAAAAATTTATGCTAATGTATAGTAGGTTTTTGTTGCTATTGCTAACTGCATTATTAAATAAATCTTTTTAACATTTCTCAGTATTAGTTTTTCATATTGATAGATATAACCTACATAAGCAAAAGCTCTTTGGGTTGTCAGTAATTTTTAGGAATAAAATGGGTCCTGAGATCAGAAAATGTGAGATCCTCTGACACAGTCTTTAGCCCTTATCTTGCTAGGTAAATATATGAATGAATATACAAATGAATGAATGAATGCATAAATGAAGATGCTGCTGGCAAAAGTATGGTTACAAGTAGTGAAATGGAAAAAGATGGGTTGAATGGAAGGCTTCCAAAGGACCTTTCAAGGTAGACTATTAGTGGTTCCTGATCTGGGGATTACACAGATGGATAACATTTTCAAATTATTTTGGGGCTCTACATAGAGTGGCCAACTTTTTAACTGGTGGAGTAAGGACATTAAAAATAAAACTACAAGTCTACTATCCCGTTTATTTCATAAAAGTTAAGATATTTTAATGGGAAAGGAAGGATGGATCTAACCTTGGTACAAAGGGTAGTCTGGAGATTGAATAGATTGGCTTTGTTGAAAGCTGGACTCCCGGTCCTCGTTTTTCTGGCTTTGCCATGTCCCTGTAACTGTATCCTCTGTCAGACTTTGTAACCATCAATCTAGAGCAGGAGTTGGCAAACTTTTTCTGTAAAGGACCAGATAGTAAGCATTTTAGGCTTTGCAGGCCATTCAGACTCTCTTACAACTACTCAACAGTGCCGCTGTAGCACAAAAGGAGCCCTAGACATTACATAAACAAATATGCAGGTTTGTGCCAATACACTTTTATTTACAAAAACAGGTGGTGGCTGGATTTGGCCCATGGCCAAACCCTGATGTAGAGAGCTGTATAGGGACATCTGGGTGACTGGAGAGACACCATTACTGCCAGGCCACCAAGGACTCTGGAATTGCCGAAACTGCTGGGTATACCATTTTCCTGGTAAACAGATCAGGAAAATCTGCTCAAGAATCTGGCTGGTCCACAGGGGTACACAGAGCCTGTCGTTTCCGGCATCTGAGGAGTATGGGAGTAGACAAAGTCATCAAACCTCCCCTGGAAAAGCAATATTTAAGCACAGTAAGCACAACTCTATTGGTATCCAAGTGGCCAGCTAAAGAAATGGAAGACAGGCAGGTGAGATGGCCTGTCCACGGCGACAGGAGAGGTAAGTGACAGACCATCACCTGAACCTGAGCTCTCTGCTGCAGTTTGATTTAGAGATGCATTTAAATGCCCCAAGTTCAAGAAAACACCAAATCCATTATTTTCTTTGAGAACAAAGGAATGCATTCTTAGAAAGTGAATCTCCATCGCCATCTTCTCTCTTCCAGGGTGTCAAGATTTGCCAGGCAGCTTTCTGCCAGCCGTGGGCATGTCCTCCCCCAAGCTGCTGATCTGCTGGTCAGATTAGGGGCACATGCATATGGTGGCAGAGGCAGGGAAGAATGAGCCACATCATTTCTGACATGTGAGCACCAGATCTGCGAGCATATGGCCTGGAAGCCTCTCCAGGAATTTCACGGGACATTTCATGCAAGTTGAGACGGAGGCATTCAGGAACCTGGATCCAGAGAGAGAAAAAGAGAAATTGCAGAAAATATTTCCCTTTGAAATATTCTCATCAAATGTGATGGAGAAGAGTTAATATCTGTAAGGAGCTCACTGGAATCATTAAGAAAAAGGTGAAAACTCCAAAAGAAAACTGGAAAATAACGTGAACTTATGATTCATAAAAGAAGCACAAATAACCAGTACACTTAAAATGAAATTTATCCTTGCTGTTAATAAACAAATGCAAATTAAAATATGACTTTATTTTTTTACTTACATTTTAAAAGAATAACATTTAATGTTGGTGTGAATGCAGTGAAAGGAACATTCTTTGTATATTGCTGGTGAGCAGGAAAATGGGTACATACCAGCTGGAAGTCAATCTGGCAATACATACTAATAGTTATAAAAAATAACCATAATCTTTAACTCAGTAATCCCACTTCCACGAATATGCACAAAACAAACAAAGATCACCACCTCCCTCTGACAAAATATCTACCTCTATGAATACAGTTCATGCTGCTGATAGCTTTTTCTGACAGTTCCACAGGTCATTTCTTGTATACTAGAAACTGAAACTTAAATGCCTCCTTTTTTCCTCCACAAATGATGCTGGGAATTCATATGTGCATAGCTCCCCTCCTATTCAAATATAGGTTTGGGGGATCCTCAAGCAGAACCTTGTATTTATTCTTGGTTGAGTCAGCCCATCATGTGATCATTTGAATCCTATGCTTGTCATTCCAAACAGCCTCAGCTTTGCCCAGCTTAGTGTCAACTTCAAATGACATTTGTCAGCCTGCCATGTGCACCATCATCTGCCTTCCCAGGAGGTGGTATAGTGAGTGACACAGCTGAGGATGGGCCCAGTGGTAGGCCACTAGACACCTCCTTTCCTATTGACTCCTATCCACTAAACAGCAAGTGGAATTGTTCAACCTATCACGAACCTACTTTATTTAACTAGGATTTAGACACATTCCTCTGTTTTGTCCACCTGGTAACCATGAAAAGTAACATCAGGCCGGGTGTGATGGCTCATGCCTGTAATGCCAGCACTTTGGGAGGCTGATGTGGGCAGATCACCTGAGGTCAGGAGTTCGAGACCAGCCTGGCCAACATGGTGAAACCCTGTCTCTACTAAAAATACAAAAATTAGACAGGCGTGGTGGCGGGTGCCTGTAATCCCAGCTACTTGGGAGGCTGAGGCAGAAGAATCATTTGAGCCCGGGAGGCGGAGTTTGCAGTGAGCTGAGACCATGCCACTGTACTCCAGCCTGGGCAACAAGAGTGAGACTCCAAAAAAAAGAAAGAAAGAAAGAAAGAAAGAAAGAAAGAAAGAAAGAAAGGAAGGAAGGAAGGAAGGAAGGAAGGAAGGAAAGGCAGGAAGGAAGGAAGGAAAGAAAGAAAGAAAGAGAAAGAAAGAAAGAAAGAAAAGAAAGGAAGGAAAGAAAGAAAGAGAAGAAAGAAGGAAAGAAAGAAAGAAAGAAAGAAAGAAAGAAAGAAAGAAAGAAAGAAAGAAAGAAAGAAAGAAAGAAAAGTAACGTCAGATGTCTTGCAGAAGTTCAGCAGAAGCACAATTACAAAGGGCAGGAGGGAAGAGCATGCCCCCAGGGGAAATGCCCTGTACTCTGCCTGGCACTATGGCACTGGCTTTTCTAGATCTGCACCCTCCCAGGACTCCCACTTCCTCTCTCCTCAACTCCTACCTCCTGCCCTTCCCCACAGGGCTTTGCTTACCTCCCTTTGACCTAATATTGGACATGTGTTATCTGCCTCTGGCTGCAAGGTGAGCAGAAGGGGGTCCAGAGTCAGGGACTGGATGACTCACTCTACCATTTACTCCTACTTGGACATGTCCTTAACCTTTCTGATCCTAAAATCCCTCACCTACAAAATGGACAGAATATGCCCTGTTCTTCCCTCCTTCAAGGGTTATTTGTAAAACTCAAAGGAGACAGTGGATGGCAACATGCCTTGTAAATCCAAGGATGGTGCAAAGGGAAGGTTAATTGGTCAGTGTCACCACCACTACTACTAAAATATTTTCTCCTTGCTATTTGGTGTAGGGGAAAGGGCAAAGTCTTCTAGAGTGTTCACTAAGTGTGTAAAGGATGAGGGATCAACACCAATGGCTCAGCAGCCCAAAGCTTCTCTGTAGACTTTATAAACAAAAGGGATTTGACACCGGAAATGACTGGACCAAAACCCTAGAATCCTTGAGTGTAGGCCCCTTGAGAGCCAGCCTGACTGGCAGCCCTTGCAGATGAGAAACTTTCAGTCCCAAAGTGGAGGAGGATGTGTTGAGGTCACACCACAAGTCAATGAAAGATGGGATCCTAGTGCTTTACAGCCCCCCAAACTCTTCTCCTGTCATCAGCCTTCAACAACACTCATTTGAGGGGCCCCAAGGAGATTCCAGGAGATGAGATTAGAAGCTACAAAAATATTGATCTTCAGGCCGGGCGTGGTGGCTCACACCTGTAATCCCAGCACTTTGGGAGGCCGAGGTGGGAGGATCACGAGGTCAGGAGATTGAGACCATCCTGGCTAACATGGTGAAACCCTGTCTCTACTAAAAATACAAAAAAATTAGCCAGGCATGGTGGCGGGCACCTGTACTCCCAGCTACTTGGGAGGCTGAGGCAGGAGAATGGCATGAACCCGGGAGGTGGAGCTTGCAGTGAGCCGAGATTGCGCCACTGCACTCCAGCTGGGATGACAGAGTGAGACTCCGTTAAAAAAAAAAATTGATCTTCAAAAACATATATGAATATAAAATCCAAGGGAACAAAGCCACCCTTAAAGGCTCCACCTGTAGTTCATTAACATTCACTCAATTGGTTTGTCATAGTAGGTTGGCATTTTGGGGGGCAATGGGGAGGGGAAGTCTGTTCCACAGCTTCATTTCCAGGAAAGCTTCCCCAATTTTGAATCTGCCTGGGAAACCTTGAGTCCGCAGTCCTGTTTCTAGGTGAGGAACTTTGGAGTCATCTGTAATTCTCCTCTCTTCATTCCACAAGGCAGGAATCCTTGACTGCTGGTCCCT
This sequence comes from Homo sapiens, assembly GCF_000001405.40. Taxonomy (NCBI): domain Eukaryota; kingdom Metazoa; phylum Chordata; class Mammalia; order Primates; family Hominidae; genus Homo; species Homo sapiens. Next base: position 78,521,368 of record NC_000010.11, on the reverse strand, counting down.
GGTGACCCTATAGATTTGTTACCTGTGCCTGACTCACCGCAGCACTCAATGAATCACACTGCTGCATGAATGCATTTGTTGACTGAGTCCCCAAAGGGTGAACTGACTTTCCCAAGCACTAGGTGGCAGGGGCTGAGGAGAAAACTGCTTCCTCCCTCCTTCCTCTTATATGCAATTCATAGAATCACAGGATGTTCAAGACAAACAGACCTGTGTAGATCACATTCTTCCCCAACATCAAAGCCCTCTGATTTCCTCGGGTACCTTTCTTGGCAGCCACACTGAGCATTTTCAGTCACTCATCATTCAACAAATATTTGAGGAGTGCTTATTTTATACAAAGAGGAAAGTTAAGTAATGCAACATCTCTGACCTCCAAATCCCTTTCCACCTCTAACATCCTCCAGGCCTGGATGAAAATCCCAATGGGGTTGGTAACCTGCCCACAGCTGCAGCCAGGCACAACATGGGAATCCCAGCAGCCTCTGGTTGGTCCGTTGCACGTCAAGCTCTGGCTTTTCTGGGGAAGATATTTTCATCAGGAAACTACATTTGGCCTAAAATGCTGAACCTTACATAGGGTTGAGGGTAAGTATTAGCAGCTCTGCCCACAGAGCTGCATTACAATTTGCAGAGTTTCTGAGAGGAGGCTGGGATCTGAGTGCCAGGGTAGTGATAAGCCCTTCGTCTTGAGGACACAGCATCCCCCAGGGCTTGGGAGCATCAAGATAGGTCTGTGTAATTCCTCACAGTGACACAACTCAAACCTCAAAGCTACTGGTTTCCTATAGCCTGGTTGGGGAACCAAGGTTTAGCTATCAGCATCCATTAAACAGAAAAAAACTCCAGAAAGCCTTCTTATGCTAAACAGGAGGAAACCCAGGCCCAATGAGGTTAAACAGCATGGCCTGGCCACAGCTCAAGCAGTGAAACAGACAAGACCTCTGCACCATTGGTTCATTGTTGGACACACGGACACCCCCCTTTTCAGGGGTAACATGGAGCTGTATAGTTTCACTTCAAGCTATGTGTGAGTAGCCTCTATTATTGGTATGTGGTTGAGAAATTGTTTTTCAGTGAGGAAAGGATTAAGTCCATTTTGGGACATCCTATGATAGAATATATATAGCCAGTAAAAATAACATCTTTAGAAAATATTTCAAGGCATGTGACAATATTCATGATCGAATGTTAAATGGAAGTAGCAGGAGGCCAAATTATATATGCACAAGGAACCCTGATATTGTGGCTATATACCACATTTCCTCCATTGTAACAGCATTGATATCAAGAGGCATCACTGGCTTAATAATAGTTCAGAAAAAAGGAAAACATTAAATCTACTATAAGAAGGATCCTGATTTCAAAAACATTAAAAAACAAAGAATGTACAACCAAGAAGAAAGGAAATGTAGCATAAATACATCACACAAATGTATGTATGTGTGTGCATGTGTGAGTTCATAAGATTCACGAGAAATACATAAAACATGGAATGATGGTTATCTCTGGGGGAGAGATTTTTATTTTATTTATTCTTTTCAGTATTTTTCAATTTTGTTTCTGATGTGTGTGTATATACTAATTTTTTGAATCAGAAAAAAATAAACTTTGTCTGTAGAACAGTCAAAGCAAATATAGGGAAAATACACATGATTTTTTGACTTACCCAGGGCAATTTCCACTTTCCAGTCTCTATACTTTTTCAGCGTTTCATTTCGTTATGTTTCTATCCTCTGGTTTTTAAGCACAGTTTAGCATTCCCTCTTCCATGAACCGTAATAAGGTTCCCATAATGCCTTTCCCCACTCTGCTGCATTTTAGCAGTACCAACATCTCTTAGGAAAATCAGGTACAATGTCATAACGCAGGTGCCACCAGCATGTTTAAGATCCCACTCTGCACTGCAAGCAGAGTTCTTTGTCAAATGTCCACCTGGGAAAAATTACCCAGACTCCAGTGTTAAGAGACTCTGCTCTTTTTTGAGAAAATAGTGTGCTTTGGATTTTTACTCTGAAAAATCACAAATATTATCTTGACTATATAATCTTTCTTTTTTTCCCCACCTGCTAAGAAACTCGGAGTCAAATTTGAAACTCACTATGGTAACTCTGTTGGTCTCTAGGGTGGGGTTATTCATGTGCTGTTTTCCTTTGGTTCTGATTCTTGAGATAAAAGATTTGATTTGACTCTCTGTGTTCTCTTGTAAGAAGCTGCAAATCATTAATGGAAAAGGCAGAAAATAAATAAATACATAGAATTATTTTCTGTGAAATCTTATTCCTCTGTGAAACCTTTCACTCCTCCCTTTTTAGTACTCACTATATCCTGTCTACCAATCAATCTTGTTAGTTACACTTCTAAACTATGTTCCATATATGTCCACTTTCCTCATCTCTTCTGCCATCCTCCTGGTCCAAGCCACCAGCATCCCTACTGGACAGTAACAACAGTCTCCTCACTCGCCTTTCTGCGTCTTCTCTTGTCCCTCCTCTGTTCCATGTATCTCCTCAGAGAACACCTTTGGCCACCCAAAAAAAGCCGGACCCCCATTCATCCTCTCTCTCAGATGTCACCCTATTATACTACCCTTGTAGTGCTTACAATGCTTGAAATAATCTTCATGTGTTTGTTTACTTGTTTGTTTTCTTTTCTCTCTCTTTTTCCCATCCCCAAAACGAGAGCTCTATCCTGCCAGATGCTACATTCTCAGTGCCCAGGACCACCTGGCACATTGCAAGTTCTCAGTATTTGCTGATATCAATGAAAGGCCCCCTCATCTCCAGCATCCCCCTAACCATGGGCAGTAATTCCCCAAGCATGTGTTTGCATTTTCAAACCATGAGCAAATCTCCCTTCTGCTAGCCCCTCCGACCTCTCAGCAAGGGGCTCGCCTAACCTGTCTGTGGTAGGAGAGTTTCCACAATCTGTGCCTCATGGGAGATGAGACTAAAGGCTGGTGAGGGAAGCAGATGACAGTGGTGATGAGGACCCACTCAGGACCCCCGTCAGCAGGATTGGGATCTCTGGAAAGGTCCAGAGACGCCTGCGGCCCCACACATTATCCCAAGGATCACCCCCTATCCTTTCTCATTAATTCATTTGCCAGACATTCAAAAACCATATTAAAATTATTTGCCCTAAAGGAGCAAAACTTCCCAAAGAGACCTCACACACTCTGTGAGACTTGTTCCTGGAGATGAATTTTCTCCAAGGCAATAAATAACCATGTCCTTCTTTTCTCTGGCTGTCTCCTCCTTCCAGGAACTGGATGTGTAGGTTCCACTAAGACCAGAGCTCTTGCCCTGACATTCCCTTTTTGCTAAGAAGACTTCCTGGTTCATCAGCTTGCAGGAGACCCTCTCTGCTCTTCTCTCTCTGGGCCCCAGGAAGACATTTATAGGGGTTCAGGGAGAAGCCCCCCAACCTCCTCTCAGAAGACATTTTACCCAGTTATTCCAGGGACTAGAGACGATCCCTAATTCCTCTTTATATCCTCTTCTTTTGGGCCCATCAGTGCAAACACAGGCCAAGGTATCATCCCAAGTGACCTGTGGTTTCCAAGCTCAATATGCAAGCCACTGTGGTCTCCCCACATTAAGTAACTTCCCTGGGAGATGGTTGGGGCAGTGACTGGACTGGGGGTTGCAGGCCCTGGAAAAATCCCCTTTGTGTCGCAGGAATATCAGTACTTGGAGAAGGATCAGAGCAGCCGAGAGAAGAGTGCTAAGGGTCGGCCCCATCTGTGAGCGTGTGAATAAGGTGGGGCAGGAGAGAGGGCCAACACTTTGTCTTGGGGATTTGGAGATTTTGGATCTCAGAGGATTTGGTATATGAATCCCAGGTAGCTTCAGTACCCTCCTGGGCCCCCCCAAAAACCCATCCCTCCAACCTTAGGCACTGCCCAGAACTCCAGGAAACCCTTGAAGGAGGCTCTAGTTCAGGCTCACCAATTTGAGGGACTTCAAAAACATAGTAGGAGGTTAGTGCTAAACATCCACTGTCCCCAGGTATAGCTAAGGCAGCTGAGGCAAAGAGTTATGCAGCAGACTAGGAGACCAGCCTGAGTCCAAGGCTGCACTGAATCTGGGTATGAGATTTCCATTTCCCTCTCTCTTCCTGCAAGACCCAGCTGAAATCTGTGTCATACACATGTATGAAATATTTAAGCCTCTCCCAAGGAGCATCATGTCACTTCTAAATCAATTTATTCTAATCTAATCCTCATCTGCCATGGTTTTCTGGGACAGCGCCATCAAGAAAACTTCTTGGCAGGTGAGAGAGACTGAAAACACAGGGCATTTGTTTTTAATAGGTCCTCTACAGCCAGCAGTTTCCAATACAGCAAAGTCCACACACGCATGAAATACGACTGCTCCTTGGAGATGACCCCTGACGTGCTTTGAGATCCATGCAGAGTGGTGCTTGCCAAACTGTGAGCATAAAGTCGTCAGAAGCACCTTAAAACTGCAACAAACACCAAGGTGAAGTGAGGCAGGCGAGGATGCCCGGCCAACAGCAGGGGGAAGGCTGGAGGAGGCCTGTTGTCATGTTACCAAGTGGCCTTTTAATATCTTCAGCCGTAAAAGGCACTGTTTACTCCATCTCTGCCTGGGCTTCAATAGGATTCGCTTTTTTCCAGCTCCTTTTGTTTTGACAGAAATGCTCCAAAATGCAGAAAGAGGCTTCACCTTGCTTTTCCATCAGGCGCAGCTGTGGAGCTCTAGACGCAGTTGGGCTCAAGGCACAGGGAGCTTCGGGAATTCTCATGGTGGCTGCAGTGCCCTGTGTGCCAGGGGAGGGGCTATGGGAGCCGCTCCCACTGGACCCAAAATTCTCTGACCAAAGCTTCCTTCTTTATAGAGCTGTCTGCTCCTGCTGTGCCATCACCAGCCCTTCCCAGCCAAAATTCCCACCAGGTCCCCATGCCTGCGCCAGCTGCACACAGGGCAGGAGGTATATCCACAGCTCTGCCCAAGGGGTGGGGCTGTGAGGGACCCTCAACATCAAACCTGACAGACTGGCAGAAATGAGTCTGGGACTTCCAAGTCCAGCTCACCCATGCTGGGCCAGCCCTGCTCAAAATGTAGGGCTTCCTCCATACAGGATCTCCTTGACTACAGAAACCCTCAAATTCTGTTTTCTGGGGTGGAGAGGATTGAGGTCCTACCTGGAAACCAAACTGAGTGAGTGGCTATGTCTCTTGCATGCCCAGGGACTCTCCCAAACTGTCAGGAACCTGACACTTCCCTTGAGTGGGAATTTAATGTTGGAGAACCTAGGCTTGAACAGAATAAGGTAGAATGGAGTTCAAATCTCATCTCTGGCACATCCTGGCTGTATGATGTCAGGAAATCACATTTCAGGGCCTTAATCTGTCTATCAGGAAAACAGGTGTAATGATATGAATCTCCAGCTGAGAAGTAAATGTGATCATTCACAGAGGATGCTCTACACGCTGCCTGGCAGTGGAAAGTCTCTCTACATGGCAGGGATTATGGGTGTTCCTTTGTGGCACAAAATCCAGTTGTCCTCTCCTTTAGAGGCATGCGGAAGACATTCCTGCCCCTGGTAGTCAGTGACTATTGGCCATTTGGTGGTGATCTGTGTCACCCGAGTATAGGGCGTGTAAGGACAGGCATGCTTTTAACACAGTCTCTCCCCCTTCCTTGGTAAGCCACCTTTTGCAATGGCAGCATCACTAGATGATGAGGGGTCTCACCAGGCTGGATCTCTGAGACAGTACGTGGAGCAGAGCCCTTTACCAGCTCCTGCAGGGACTGGCATGTAAGCCAGAAATAAACCTTTATTGTATTAAGCTATGGAGTCTGGTTACTTGAGCAGACTCGGTGCATCCTGCAAATACAGCATCCGATTCCCTAGCCACCAAGTCAGCACCAAGCCTTTGCTCTTCATTCTGCATGTTGGACATAGGGCTTGGAGGCCCTGGGCCCTCCCTCTCCCCCTCCTCCCTGACAGTGAGCTGTAGCTCTCAGCCACTCCCTACCCACATTGCCTCCCCTCCCTGCTGGCCCTCATTGCTGAGGTCTGAGCAGGCTTGGGCCTGGACCAGAGGAAAGGGTGGCAGGAGAAGCCAGGAAGAGCGCTGTCTGGAGCTCCAGATGGACCTGCCCTCGGGGGCTAAAGTGCTCTGCTTGACTCAAAGCCCAGGGCAGCAGAAGTGCCCAGCACAGGCTGGCTGCATCTGCAGCCTCCTGCCCCTGGCACCGTGGTTGTAAACTCCTTCCCATAGAGAAGCAGAGAAAGGTCACACTGACCTCTTGTTTCCTCTGAATCAGCCAAATTTTCACTCCTCTGTTGAGGTCTGAACGCTAAACAGTGCCTTTTACGGCTGAAGATATTTTCCATAGGGCTGTAGAAAGTGAGCTAGAGGGACTGTCCACACCAATTCCATGGTACAGAGTAGAAAACTGAGGACTGAAGAAGGATGGGACTTGCCCAGTAGCAATGATTGTCATGAGACCAGAATCTTGCTACCAGCATAAGCACTGAGCACAAATGTCAATTAATTTTATTTTTCTAGAATCTGGAACTTGCTTTGTCCAGAGCTAAGTGGTTTAGCCAAAGAGATAGCTTCTGCTGACCAGGAATGTGATGTCCATTCTGAAAAGACCACAGCTCGTCCTAGCCAGACAGCGAACCCAGAGAGCGAACCCAACCTGCATGGCTGAGCCTGCCTGGCTGTCCAGCAGGGCATGAGCTTTCTGTGTGCTCAGGAGGGAGGCCTTGTGGTGGGTCCTCTGCATCACCAACCCCAGTGTTCTCCACTTATTCTGAATCATTTCTTCCAGAAGTAAAAACGCCCAAAAATTAATGACTCTGAGGCAAGAAGAGCCCTTGAAGACTGCATAGATGGCTGCCACTTGGGGCCTCTCCATGGCCCTCTCACCAAGCAGTCATCGAGCCTCTGGCTAAAGCCCTGCTGTGATGGGCAGCTCACTACCTCCCACGGTGGTTATTCCATCATGGGCTTTGTCTCAACATCTAAGTGTGATGTCCCCTCTCTGCTCCAGATCTGCCCTTTGGACCATGTTAAACCCCTCTACACCTTGACAGCCCTTCTAGAATGGGAGGCCCCCTGTGAATCTTCTCCATCTGGGCATGAACAGTCCAAGGCTATCAGCTTTCTTCACGGAACTCAGTGTCCCATCTCCTCACCTCCAGCCCCCTTGCTGCTCAAAGAATGCTCTGGCAGCATGGATATCACCTGCGATCATGTAGAAATGCAGCGTATCAGGCCTGCCCCAGACCTCCTGAATCATTATCTACATCTTAAGATCCCCAGGCCCAGTGTGGTGCTCATGCCTGTAATCCCAGGGCTTTGGGAGGCTGAGGCAGGAGGATTGCTTAAAAGGCCAAGAATTCAAGACTAGCCTGGGCAACACAGCAAGATGTAGTCACCACAAAAAAATTTTAAAATTAGCAGAGTATGATGGCATGTACCTGTAGTCCCAGCTACTCAAGAGGCTGAGGAGGTTAAGGTTGCAATGTGAGCCATGATTGTGCCACTGTACTCCAGCCTGGGCTACAGAGTGAGACCCTATCTCTAAAACAAACAAACAAACAAAAACAACAACAACAACAACAACAAAAACAAGATCCCCAAATGTTTCCTGGCCACATGAAGTGTGGGAAGCACTGGCCTAGACACCTCCCACTGTCCACGTAGCTCTTAGAGTAGAGGTTCCAGAATGCAGCTCTCTCTCAGGAATGCAGGGCAGGACTCTCACCTCTCTCTCCTAAGCATTCTTTAGAGCTGCAGAACCCTGACCACACAAAGGATCCTGGGTCCACCCAGATCTCAGAGTTGTCTTCACGGGAACTGTTCCCACACTGCATCTCCCAGCCTGGGTTGGGGGCAGTTGGTATGTGTTGAGTCAGGTGTTGACACTTACATTTGCCAAATTAAACATCACTGTTCTTTCAGCTGTGTCTCACCTACTATTTAACCCATCAGCTTTCAAATCTGCCTGCACATTAGTATCACCCAGTGTACTTTTGATACAATCTCTGATTCCAAGACCCCTTTCCAGAAGACTTGAAAAGACTCTCTGGGGAGTCTATTTTGTGGGTGTCAGGTCTTTTTTTTATGCTTCCCAGGCAATTCTAATATGCCATTAGGATGGAGAGCCACTGGTTTACTACATCTATTAAGAAGTGAATTTTATTTATTTATTTTTCAACCACGCTCTGGGATCCATCGGTGTAGTCAGCTCACTTCTGACTGTGACTCTGGGCTCATGGGCAAGGTACCTATTGGCTACTGCCACAACATTGCTGTGTAACAAACAACCACAAAATCTGAGTGAATACAATAATAAACACTGTGCTGGCCAACCTAGGCCATGGTGGCTTGGTGGCCCTCCTAGATTATGGAGCTGGGTTAGCCATGCTACTAACTGCAGGTGTGTGGGTAGGGTGACCCGCTTTTCCCAGTTAGCCCAGGACTTTCTTAGTTTGAGTGCTGAAAGTCCCAAGTCCCAGGATATGCCTTGGTCCTGGGAAAACCGGGATGGTTGAATACCCATCCATGGTCGGCCTGGGTAGCTCTGCTCCCTGTGTCTCATCCTCCTTGGACCAGCAGGCTAGCCAGGCATGTGCCTTTCAAGATGTTGGCAGAGACTCGAGAGAGCAAGTGGGCCCAAGAGAGACCCAGCCTCGAATGGGCTCACTGCCACCGCCCACCACAGGTTAGCTTTGTCCACCATGTTGGCCAGAAGTCTCCAGTCCCAATTAGACTTCTTCCTTACAGATTTAGCCTGGCTCCAGGCTCTGACCATCTTTCTGGATCTTTCTTCAGGCATCTGGCATGTTGTCCAAAGCCAGTTACACAGCTGAGCCCAAAGTGAAGGGGCATGGAAAAATATTCCACCCACGATGAGGCCATGGCAGGCATGTCGATGCAGAGAGGGCTAAATAATTGGAGCCAATCATTCCATCTCCCACAGGCAGAGAGGCTCTGGCTTCCAAACGTGGATGACCTTAAGTCCTTCCTTGGCTGCCAGCTCTCTCTGGGGAGCCCAGTTGCAGGGCCAGAGACCTTCCCAACTCCCACTCCCACCCAGCTCCTAAGACACATACTGCTCTGGTGCCTCATTGCCTGTGTGGCTTCAACCCTCTCTCCCTCTTCCTCTCCTCCTTCCCTTGCTTTTTCTTCATCAGGTATTTAGAGGCGCCTGGAAAGGGAGGGATGATCTTGTGTCAGCCTCATGAGCTATCTTGACCTGCACCAAGTAAATTTCAACATAACAAACTTAGCCCTACTTCAGCCTGGCAGGCTCTCTTGGATCCTGATTCATTCACCTCCAGTACATTCCCAGTTGCCTCCAGCTCTGCATCCTGCCCATATTTTTCATGTATCAATAAGCCAGATGTCAGCCAGGGCTTTTGGGCCCTGAGTATTCAGGCACACTTGGCTGTAACCCCCAACTCCAAGACATGTAATCCTCCAGAGATCCCCGGCCTTGACTTTTTCCCAGAAGAATCATGCAAACATCCCCAGACCAATCTGATGCCCCCAGAAGCTCACATGTCATAAATGTAACTGTGCTGAGGCCACTGTGGGAAGGACAGGGTCACGTCACTAACCTCACAGTCCAACAAACACCCCAAGCTCTGGTTCTTCCATCCCCTCCTTCTTCTCCTTCCTGGTCCCATCCTGCAAATCCCCTCCCTGTTCCTCCTGTTGGGTCATTCCACCTCCACTCAGACCCATGGAGAGCTCAGCTTTTGTCCTGAGAGGAACTTGAGGAAATGTTTCCCTGATCTCATTACATGTCGATTATTTCTGACCATGTTTTAGGTCCCTGGGCTCTATCTTTCCCCAGCCACCCAGCAAGCTTCTGGGCTCTGATCCCAATTAAGAGCAGTAAAGCACGAAGAATGGCTAGGCCTTCAGGGGAAAAAATTTGAAAAGATCTTCATTGCTTTAAACATTATGTGGGCTGACTCACCCTGCATCCCTAAATTTATGACTGTGGTCTCCATAAAATAGGAGCAAAAGGACGCTGACCTTATACCCCAGCCGGACACCTTCCACCCTTATTCCTGCAGCCCACCTACAGCTTGCCCCCAACTAACCAGCCAGGGCTGGACCACAGAGTCAGGGTGGCAGTGTAGGTGAAACTCAGCACTTCCAAGTCTGGATGTAGGTCCTGGCTCTGCCACTTAGAGGCTGACTGTGCCTGGATAAGTCTCTTACCCTCCCAGGATCCCACTCGTTGCTGGGGTGATACCCACTAGGTGGAGATGTTATGGAAAGTGCATCTAAGAAATAGCACCAGCGGAGGTGTCTTGAAACCTGAAAAGCACCACACCAACGCGAGGCACTGTTCTTCCTGTATGCTGAGTTCAAGAAATGAGGCTGATTTCAAAACTTACTCGTAGTAAGTTTCTAACTAGAAAGGAGATCCACTGTCACAAAAAACACATGTCTCATCTCCAAGCCAAATAAAATGGGTTTCTGGCTGGGCCCCGCTGGTGGCATGTGATGGGGCTCCTGCCTCTCTGACAGAGCTGACCAAGAGGGCGGGCTCCACTCTCCACTCCCCAGCCTCTGGGTCTTGGGAGTGCAGGGGCAGCTGCAGGCAGGAGGGCAGGAGGATTTGAGCAGCTGGGCTAAGGTCAGGCACAGAGGCTTGGGCTCAGCAGACAGCCAAATGCTCGGCCCAGCTGCTACTGCCTCTTTCTGGGCCCTGTGCAGGAGGCAGACGCTGGCTGCCAGGCTGGCGGGCTCCCCTCCACGGCTGCAAGGCCACCCAGGCCCAGGGGTCTGCTCTTCCCTCTCCTCCTGCTGAATGGCATTCTTTCCTTTTCTTTCTCTGTCTCCTCACTCTCCCTTTCCTTCTATTCCTTTTCTCCCTCATCTCTTTGTGTCTTCATTTCTGTCTTTGTCTTATCCTATGTCTCTCTTCTTTGTATTTTTTCCCTCCCTCTCTCAGTTTCTTGGCCTCTCTTCATCTCTCTGTCTCTGGGTTAAAAGTTGTAGGAAAAGGATAGGAGGTGGGGCCCAAGAGGAATCCCAGATGAAACTGAGCTGAGCTCCTACTACGATTTCAATGTCTGTGTTTCCCCAAAATTTATATGTCGATCCCTAATCTCCAGTGCAATAGTATTAGGAGGTGGGGCCTTTGGAAAGTGACTAGGTCATGAGAGTGGAGCCCTCATGAATGCAACCATAAGAGAGGCCTGAAGGAACTGTTTGCACCTTCTGCCATGTGAGGTCATAGCTACAAGGCGCTATCTATGAATGTATGAACAAGAAAGTGGGCTGTCATCAGACATCACACCTGCCACCACCTTGATCTTGAACTTCCAGCCTCCAGAACTGTGAGTAATAACTTTCTGTTGTCTATAAGCCACCCAGTCTATAGTACTTTGTTATAGTAACCTGAACAGACTAGGACAGATCCCATCCTGTCCCAATCAAGAGAGATTCAGGAGGGTGTCTGGAAATAGGTTCAACTTTGGAGTTGGGGGCAACATAGATCTATGGACTCTTTAAAGACATCCTCAAAGAATGAAGCCAGGCCCCTGCACTTGCTCCTGGGACACGGGAAGCCCCACAGTATTCAGTTCTCACTGATACCATAAGGACTCTCTCATCAACAAACATTCTTTGGGGCTTTTCTAAGTCCAGAGTGTGTGCTGGGGCTGGGGGATGAGGAGGGATGAGGCAGGGGCCCTGCTCTGACAGAGCTCCCACATGCAGGGCAGGAGAGAGTTAAATGAGCAACTACATAGTTAGATGTGCCCTGTAAATGGTATCCAAGGGGTAGGGCCAGGACAGAGGTGGAGCCACTTACGCACACTGGAGAGGCAATGTTGAAGCTGAGCCTAGAATTAGTTAGAGGAGTTTTATAGGCCATAAAGAAGAATCTGCCTGGGAAGCATGGACATTTTCTCCCATCTAGGTGCAGAGGAGCAAGGGGGTATGGCAGAGGATGACACGGGAAAGGGGACTGAAGTCCCATCATGCAGTAAGGACTTTGTAAGGCAGAGGTAATGGGTAGCCCTCAAATGCTGGGAGCCATAGGGCTGTGGCGGGGAGGCCCTTGTCCATCTGTGAAATGGGAAAATGATCATTTCCCTCTCCCCCTCCCTTCCATGGAGCAGGAGAAATGAATAAAGAGGCTCTGCTGCCATTGCCGTTGGCCAAGCAGAAAAGGGAGGGCGTGGGCTTGGCTCTTGATGCTGGGAAAGGGCCTCATTATGAGCTGGTTTCATTCATAAAGGAGGTTGTCATGGACCACACAATGGGGCTTAGTTTCTAAGTTAAGAGGAAAACCTAATTTTAAAGTTGCTTCTTCTGTGACTGGGAGGAGGAGGTGGTGGCTGTGAGGCCAAAGAACAGAATATTAGCGAAGGATGAAATAAAAGTGGTGCCTTTGGCAATCTGACTTTGTCCCAGCTTTGGGGCCATTCCCCTGTCCACTGAGCCTGCCCTGCTATGTCTATCCTTGCCCAGGCATGCACCCAGAGCTTTACCTCCCTCCCTGCTCCAAAAGGGCTCTAAGATATGAAGAATGAAGAGGTAGCCAAAGCTATCATTGTACAAGTGGGGAAACTGAGGACAAGATGGGGGAAGATTGTTGCCCAAGGTCACAGAATATGCTAGAGCTAGCTCTGTGATGCACAGGTGCATCTGTCACCTTCAGGGGTAATGTCACTCCTGGCTCCCTTTTGGGGTTGGAGTTGTGTGATTTGCAAGTGGACCTTGAGCATGAGCTGAGACCTGAATGTGATCTATGCCAGGAAATCCAACTTGGAAGCAGAAACTGCTTCTGAAGATCACCGTGGATGCCTATAGCAGGTCCCTTCACTGTCACACTCACTGACACTTTGGTCTGTACAGCCTTCCAGTGAGGACAGTCACCATGTCTGCGTTCCAGATGAAGAAACTGAGGCTCATGGAGGGTAGGGGTCCTGAGTCAATGCTGGGACTCAAACTGGAGACTTCCAGCTCTAAAGCTCTTAAAGCCTTTTCTCCATCCTGTCAGATACATGTAGATATTTTCACTTGAACATTGTACATGTGATGTGGGCATAGATAGTATATATGTATTTATAATATACATACATGTATGCACATACATGCATGTACACACACAGAGTTTTTAAATCTCCACTGGCTGCCCTTGCCCTGTGTTGCATAGAAAATTAGTATATTGGTGCAGCCACTAATCCCTTTCATTTGGATGCAAGCAAATGACAGGATCAGTCTCCATCGCTGCCACGGCTAAACCCCAGGGCTCCCCTGGTGCCTTGAATAAGAGTCAAGATGACCCACTTTCTCCAGCTATTCCCTGTCTCTGGGCTGCTTTGGCTGGGAAACTGTCAGTCTGGTAAATATCAGAGGCTTAGCAGAGCGGATTCCTGCTTCCAAGACTGCCCTTTTTTGGCTGTGCAGTCTGGCTTATAGAACTAAGCCCCAGGGTCCTGCCCCAGGGCTAGGGTTCAGTTGCCCACATGCAGGCAGGGCCTGTCTGCCTAGCACGCTGGTGTCCACAGAGATGTCCACATAAGACGGAGGGCACTCATTGCCTCTACAGGCATTGCCTCGGTGTCCAGTCTGTACAAGTGCTCAGGATAAGAACTTAAAAAGACACAGGGTCTGCCCTCGTGAAAGGAGGTTGTCATGAAAACAAACCCAGAAATAAATGGCAGAGCAAGCCAAGTGTTCTCTGAGCACAGAGGAGGGAACAATTAATTCTGCCGGGAGGATCAGGGAAGGCTTCTCAGAAGTCTCTGGAGTGGAGACTGGAATGTAAATTAGAACTGCCACATGGAGAAATGAGGGAAGGGTATCCCAGTTGGAAGGAACAGCATGGGCTGAGGCACAGAGGCAGGAAAGAGCAAAGGCAATGTGAACAAGAGTGGCAGAGGGCAGCTGCAGCTAGATCCTGACAAGCCTTAGACCCTGGAGGAGGGGAGACACTTCTGTCCTCCAGGCACAGGTCAAAGGATGCAGAGAAGTTTTACGCAGAGGAGCTGCAAAATCCAGGCAGCCTACCAAAAGGCCCTGGCCTCACCTCAAACCTCAGTGCCAGCCCATACCTGAGCCTTTTTCTACCTCAGTGACCTCACTCCGCACCAGTGGGTGCTCTGATGCTCTCTCCTTTCTTCCTGGAACTTTCCTTCCCATTGAGTATGGAGCATTTTCTTTCAGATACCAAGCACTTCTAAGTGTGAATGTTGGTAACTGCAACTTTCCTCGCAAGGGCATTTACCTGAGGCAGGAGAGAGGGAAGGATGCCCAGAATTCCCAAAGGCTGGTGCCTCAGGGTACACTTTCTGAGTTTTACAAGGACAACAGACCCCAGGCCTGACTTTGGACCTCTGGCCTCAAGCCTTTAGGAGCCAAGGTTAATGGAGGCGGTGGTCTATGTTGCCTGTTTCTGTGTTGATGGGGCCTTCCTGGAGCAAAGGCCAGCCACCCCTAATACCACCAGGTTATTTCGGGGATAGGTGGCCATCTCTGAGCCTGGAGCCAGAGTGCTGTCTCTGAGGAGATGGCACAGCTGTTCCATTCTGCAAGGCCTCCTCACCAAGGTTGACATGTGGATGTGGAAGTGTAAAGAGGAACAGGCTAAGGAAGTAGCCTTGATGCCCCCTGGCTCAGCAGTTCTCACCCTCAGGGAGAGCCCTGCAGGTGCTCTGGGTCAGGCTCTCTGGCCCTGGTTAGGTGAGTGGCCATGGGCCTTGTGCATCTTCCTGGTTCTGAGGGAACCAGGATAAGCCACAAAGGCCCTGGAGGAGGAGTCAGCTGCTTTCTTAAGTCAACTTTTATAATTTTAATATAATGAACCACGGAAAGCATACTTTGACAAGCTCGGATAAATGTAAACACCTATGCATCTCCCACTAAAATTAGAATTCAGAACATTTCCTGCACCCCTCTCCCCGAAGCTCCCTCCTTCCCCCTTGCATTCAATCTCTCTCTCCACCTCTGGCCCAGACAACCACATTCTGCTTTCTGTCACTATGGATTAGATTGGACTTTTCTAGTTTCGTGTACATGGAATTATATGATATTGCTTCTAGTCTTTGGGGCCTGGTTTCTTAGGCTCAGAATTCTGTTTCTGAGATTCCTCCTTGTGGACTGTATCAGTTATGCACTCTTTTTCATTGCTGAGTAATATTATATTGTGCAGCCATACTACAATTTGTTTATTAATTCACCTGTTGATAGACAATCTGGTTGTTTATAGCTTTTTGGATTTTTAAAAATAAAGTGGCTATATGAACATTTACAAACAAGGCTTTGTGTGAACACACATTTTAATTTTTCTTGAGTAAATATACAGAGTGGAATTTCTGGATCACATGGTACATGGATGTTTAAACCTATAAGAAACTGCCAGTCTGTTTTCCAAAGTGGTTGTACCATTCTACATCCCCACAAGCAGTGTATGAGAGCTCCATTTCCTACACATTCTTGCCAATATGTGACATAGTCAGTATTTTTAATTTGAGTCATTCTATGGGGAGTGTTTCATTGTGGTTTTGACTTGCATTTCCCTGGTGACTAGTGATGTTCAGTGTCTTCTCACGTCCCAATCTGAGTCTTGAGTCTGCCACTTTTCAGCTTCATGCTTGCACAAGGCACTCTACGACTCTGGATCTTAATTTCCGTGTCTGGAAAAGCCGAGTACCAATCCCTGCCCTGTCTCCTTCTCCAGGCCTTTGTAAAGATGGCATCAGGTAATGTGTGTGTATGTGCCAAAGTATGCAAAAGTATTTGCAAGGTGTAAACCCTAGCCTGCAAATCCTATAGCACTCAGCTCACTGTCTTGTTTTAAACAGATCTTCCTGCAGGAGCTTCCTTACTAGTTGTCCTGGTTCTAGTCGTCTCAATCTTGTCCTCCACATGGTAGCCACAGTGGTTTATCTAAAGCAACTGACAGAACTTGGCCTTCCTTTGTGCTTAAAATCATCCCCCTGTCTTTCCATTGCTGCAGATTCCATTTCATTCTTTCCACTAATAACACTGATTGAAGACTTGCTGTGTGCCAGGCACTCTTCCAGATGCTGGGAATAAAGGGTTAAACAAAGCAGATAGGCCCTGCCCTTTACCCATTTTCCTTACTTTGTAAAGGTAACACAGGCCCATAGAGATGAATGGGCTGCCCCAGATCACACAACAAGCCAGCGGCAGAGCAAAGACTAGAACCAGGTCCCTGCCCCAGTCCTGAGATCTTTCTACCCTTCCAGCAGCCACTCTTTCCACTGGTCTTTCTCTCAGAGCCACGGTGGGCCAGAGATAAGGGGAGGTGGTCCTGGGGAGCCAGCAGCAAGCTTCACTAGGGCCCCCCAGCTCAAGTGCCACTTTCTTCAGAAGCATTGGCGTGAATAATTGCCTCCTGTCGGGTGCAGACCTGGGACTAGTTGGTAAATGGCGCCACTTGCTCCTGCCTCCTTTCCCCAAGGCACCTCTTGCTTTCCAGCCTGCGAGATTCTCTATCTGCTAAGAGAAGGGGCAGAGCAGCAATCTCATTAGGTTGCTTGTGGCTGTCAATCTCCCTTTAAACAGGAAAGCACTGCACGGTGACATTTAAAGAGGGGTCTACTCTAAATCTCAGCCTGCTTCTCCACTACCAAAAAGCTCCCTTGGTAACTGGAGACTCGATGCCACAGAATGTCAGAGATGAGAGTGGGACTGTTGGGGATGCCTGAGTCTAAGGAAGGGGCACAGGATGGCCAATGTGCATGCATCAAGTGATGAGAAGAGTTGCGATTAGAAACCCCGATCACCCATGGCTATCTCCACATCCTTTCCTATATACCTTTGTGGATCTCAAGAGGAAAAAACTGATAGGATCCCATGCTTTTCCCAGGATCCCAGGTTCCTGCCTAGCGACCTGCCCCTGGAGAGGAATGTCCTCCAATGGTCCTCCTTCTTTTCCCTCATTGGGCCACATATCAGTCCACGTGCAGCAGCAGATCATAGACACCACTCTGGCTGGCTTCACCAGAAAGGGATTTAATGCAGGGAATTAGGGGATTATGACCCCATGGAAGGGCTGGGGGAGGAGGCTGCAGGCTCAGCTTCGAGGAAAGAGTCCCAGAATGTCACTGCCAAAGTTTCTTGCCAGAGAAGCTGCTCCCTCCACCATAATCAGAAAGCTGGGGGACCCAACTGCTGTTTCCAAGAACTGCATTATTTCTGCTATGACCTGGAGATTAGATGGATGCTGTTATCCCAGGTGCTAGCTGCAGGGCCTCACTGCCTCCAGGAGACTAAGACAGAGGTGAGCAAGCCAATCTGTGACATCTGCCGTGGGGCTCCAGGGTTCCCCTAGGAAAGACACAAAGACACAAAGTTCCCCTTTTGCTACATTCAAAAAAACTTTTTGCCCGTGGTTAAGTTGACGCAGAGCTTTATGTGTTCTGAGCCTATGTCTTGAGCTATAAACTTATAAAAGGAGGTGAGGTACAGAATAGAGCTTAGGACAGAGCAGAAAACCTAGACTCACATTCAAGCCCTTCTGAGAAGTACAGCCCAGTGGGTGAGAGCACAGCCTCTGGAGACTTCTGCTGGGTGTGTGTCCCAGTTTGACCCATGCACCTGTGTGGTACCTGGTGACACTGACCCTTTCTGCTTCTTGGTTTCCACATCTATACAACAGGGTGATAGTAGCAGTACACAGAACGTACTTACAACAATTCCCTGCACAGAAAGAGCAGTTAACTAAAGTAAGCTATAATTATTCTTGCAAATGTTCTAGCTTTGGGACTTAACACAGGTTATTTGAAGACTGAGCCATAGTTACCTGAGCCTAGATAAAGGTTTCTCAATGTGGGCACTATTAACACTTAGGGCCAGATAATTCCTTGCTGTGAGAGGCTGTTCTGTGACTTGTAAGATGTTTAGCAACATCCCTGGCCTCTACCCACCAGGTGCCAGTAACATTCTCCCCTCTCCCTAGTTGTGACAATCAAAAATGCCTCCATATATTGCCAAATAGCCCATAAGGAACAAAATCATCCCCGGTTGAGAATCACTGCTGCAGAAGATGGGGATAATTTAATTTGTTCACAGCACTGCCATGTATACTAAACAAGGAAAGGAATGTGATGGTTATTTGTAACCTAGAGGTCATCTGGGTCCCCTACCCCTTGAGTAGTAAACTTAGCTCAAACCTACTTTCCACCCTATAGGAGGTTCAGTGTCCTCTCCAAGATTTCTGAAAATTCTTGAGAGTTGGCATTCAAGGTCACCTCCTGTTTCAATTTCTTGTTTCTGAAAAATTGTCAATATCCCTACTTTTGTCTTTGCATTTTGGATGGTCTCTAATGTGGAAGATAGACCCCTTTCATTTATTTCCCCAAAATACTACTCAAAGAAGGCAGCTGAACGTACCAGGGCTGTTCCTGAATGCCATGGCAAGGACAGCCCAGTCTGCTGGGTCACTCAGGTTTGAGTATTAGTCATGCCCCACAGAAGTTCTCGGGGCCACATGCCTCTGAAGTCCCCCAGTGCTACCATGCTGCTCCCCTCTGTTCCTTGCTATTATCCCAGGCCTCTCTTCGCAGGCTCCTCCAGGACTCCTGCAATTCAGCAGTCTTACCAGCTGCTCAGGCCCAAGGGCAGCCTCTCCAGCCAGCATCACCATCCATTCTGCTGTCCCTGCAGCACCAAGCTGCTGGGGAAGCACCCTCCCCACCTCCACCAATACCATCATGCCCACTACAAACACGGTGAATTGCCGGCTAACATATAACCCAAGCAGATTTATGACCACATTGGTGAACTCAAAAGCAGAAAGGAAGCATTCTCCCATGCCAGAAACAAACAAACAAACAAAACTCTTAAAGCCAGAGCAGTGAGCAGGAGCTAACGCCAAAGGCCCACAGAGGTATAAGAGCTGGACAAAATGCTCCTGTTTTAGTATCCATGAGGGACCGGGGGCCTATACAACAGGCCCTGAGCACAAAAGAGGATATGAGTCATCTTTCTGCTTAGAGGCAGGAGCCTGGAAAAGCTGTCCCTTCAGTAAAATGAAAGCAGAAAACCACCACCCACCACTCACAAAAGTGGGCCTACCTCCCCAGGCCATGAGTGAGAGAGGAGACATCAGAGAGAAATCTGGACTCTAAATCTGCACCACAAATGTACACAGGGAGAATTGGTGAGTACATTCATGGAAGCACTCTTCATAAGAGCAAAGCCATAAAAATAATCAAAACATCAGAGGTCTCTAAAGCTGTGCTACTCACAGGGACCCAGGTATGAGGCCCCAAGGAAAAGAATTACAATAAAACCCGCCTGGATTGAGGGAAACCCTTCCAGCTATGGCAGAGGTGAATGTGAAACCTGTACCTCCCAGGTGGGAAACGGTACCTTCTGAATATGAACTTGGAGTAAAAAACAACCAAGCATTAGAGGCAAGTGGAACCCAGAACAAGGGTTTCCAACTATGTCTAACAGAAGTTCTAGAGGGAGAAACAGAGAAGGTGGAGAGAAGGAATATTTGAAGAGTTATCAGCTGATGATCCTCCAGAATTGAAGAAATATATTAGCTCTTATATCAACACTGTAGCTTGAGTTCCAAGAAAGATAAGTATCAACAAATACTCACATGTGAAGGAGGGAATCAACATATAAGAAGCTGAGAAATCAAGCAATCAATGGAGAAGAATAGTATTTAAAATATAAAAGAATAAAATATAATATACCCAAATAAGACATTGGAGAAAGTGAGGTAGAGGAAGTAAACTGACTTCCCTTTGTTCTTGGTGAGGGTCTCTTAGTCATAACTCAATAAATAAGACATAAAAGAATATTGTATATAGTTACAAGGCAACCACTAAAGAACTAAAAATACCCCATAAACCTTCTTATTAGAGGGAAAACCAATACATAAAGCAAACTATGAAAATATGGACCATGAATAAAGGATTTTTAAAGGAAGCATTAAAATCAAAATGTATAATGTAAAGTGTGATAGAACTGAAACAAAATCTATGTTGGTTTTATCATTAAATATAATAGGATAAACTAATATTTTTTTTTACTAAACTTGAATTAACTTTATTCATTGACATTTTATATATATACATAATATACACTAGCCACTAACATAAAATATCAAGTTTTTATGTGTATGTGTATGTAAATTTTATCTTATTCCCTTTCAATTTTAACACATAATGCTAATTTTTTTTATTATTATTATACTTTAAGTTTTAGGGTACATGTGCACAACGTGCAGGTTTGTTACATATCTATACATATGTCATGTTGGTGTGCTGCACCCATTAACTCGTCATTTAGCATTAGGTATATCTCCCAATGCTATCCCTCCCGCTTCCCCCGGTGTGTGATGTTCCCCCTCCTGTGTCCATGTGTTCTTATTGTTCAATTCCAAAATATTATTATTTTTGGATCAAAGAGGGAAACAACAAATATAGGCTTGTAGAATATGCCTCTTATTTCTCAATTAAGTCTTCTCAGCCTTACCTCTGATTTCTACCATGCTGGTATAGATAGTTCCCTAGGGCTTGGACTGACTTCAAGGCAACGGCACCTGCATGCAACAATCATGTGCATTTTTTCCCTCCGCTCCTGGGCTTCACTGGTACAAGTGGGAGCTCTCAGGGTCCACACATGTGTGCAGCTTAGAAGTGCAGGGAAATTAACACCCCCCCAGAGGAAACAACCAATGTTGAATGAAACCCATCTATGACGAGATGTTCAGCCCCATTGTGTCATTAGGGAAATGCAAACCAAGCCCCAAGTTTTGATACTGACGTATACTCATTGTAGGAGCAAAAATCAGAGACAGTCTATGTAAAAGAATGGAGATACTATGGATCAACAAAACCTTTTATATGTTACTAGTGGAAATACAAATTTGTAGGGCCATGATAACCACTTGGCATTATCTTACAAAATTGAACATTCCAGGCTGGAGTGCAGTGGTGCAATCTTGGCTCACTGCAACCTCTGCCTCCCAGGTTCAAGCAATTCTTCTGCCTCAGCCTTCTGAGTAGCTAGGATTACAGGCACCCAGCACCACGCCTGGCTAATTTTTGTATTTTTAATAGAGACAGGGTTTTGCCATGTTGGCCATGCTGGTCTTGAACTCCTGACCTCGTGATCCGCCCACCTCAGCCTCCCAAACTGCTGGGATATGATTCGGCTGGGATATGGTTCGGATATGGTTCTCATCTTGAGCTGTGGGTCCCATAATTCCCACGAGTCATGGGTGGGACCCAGTGGGAGGTAATTGAATCATGAGTGCAGTTACTCTTATGCTGCTGTTCTCATGACAGAGAGTGAGTTCTCAAGAAATCCGATGGTTTTACAAGGCACTTTCCTCGCTTTTGTTTTGCACTTCTCCTTGCTGCTGCCATGTGAAGAAAGATGTGTTTATTTCCCCTTCTGCCATGATTGTAAGTTTCCTGAGGCCTCCCCAGCCATGCTGAACTGTGAGTCAGTTAAACATCTTTCCTTTATAAATTACACAGTCTTGGTTATGTCTTTGATAGCAGCATGAGAATGGACTAATACAATTCTCATAGCAAGTTTATGCTTCAATGTAATTCCAAGAGAAATTCTTGCAAATGTACTGAGGGAGAATTGGTGAGTATATTCATGGAAGCATTCTTTATAATAGCAAAACATAAAAACAATCAAGATATCCATAAACAAAATAAAGGCTAAATAAGTTGTGGCATATTTATACAATGAAATATTATATAACAGTCAAAATGAATAAACCGTGGCCACATGTAACAATATGGCCACATCTACAAAATGTCACATTTAGTGGAGAAAGTAAGTACTAGATGATATACTGATAGAAACAAAATAAAATAAATTTTATTAAAATTATTAAAAGCAAGTGCTAAAAAAATAAGTTTTAGAAGAATAATGACAGATGCAACAAAACTACATTCAAAACAGAGGTGGGACAGCTCAAATTATACTTAATGATGAAAGACTTAAAACTCAATATTAGAAACAAGACAAGGATGTCTACTTTCAACACTTCAACATTGGAAGCCAGGTGCACTGGCTCACACCTGTAATCACAGCACTTTGCGAGGCTGAGGCAGGCAGATCGCTTGAGGCCAAGAGTTCAAGACCAGCCTGAAACATGGTGAAACCCCATCTCTACAAAAAAATACAAAAATTAGCAGGATGTGGTGGTGTGCTCCTGTAATCCAGCTACTTGGGAGGCTGAGGCAAGAGAATCGCTTGAACCTGGGAGGTGGAGGTTGCAGTGAACCAAGATTGTGCCACTGCACTCCAGCCTGGGGAACAGAGTGAGACTGTCTAAAAAAAATAAATAAAATAAAGTTAAATAAAATAAAATAAATTTCAACGTTGTACTGGAGGTGCAAGCCAGAACAATTAGGCAAGAAAAAAAAAGCATCTAGATTGGAAAGGAAGAAGTAAAACTATCTCTATAGGCAGATGACATGATCTTGTACAGAAAAATCCTAAAGAAGCCAGTAACAATCTATTAGAATTAATAAATGACTCTAGAAAAATTGTAGGATACAAGATCAATACAAAAATCAATCATATCTCTATAAACTAGCAATAAACAATCTAAAAATGAAATTAGGAAAATAATTACATTTACAATTCCATCAGAAAGAAAATATCTAACAATAAATTAAACAAAAGACATACAAGACTTACCAACTGAAACTTCAAGACATTGTGGAAAAAAATGTAAATGGGGAGACGTCTCATGTTCATGGATTGGCAGACATAATACAGTTAATATGACAATATTCTCCAAATTGGTCTAAAATTAGATGTTAGTGATGGTTGCACAACTGGTTGTGAATGTAAGAAAATCATTGACTTGTACACTTTAAATTGGTGAACTGTAGGGTATATGAATTTTATCTCAATTTTATCTCAAGTTGTTTTTAAAACAGGGTTTGGGAAGTAAAGCATCAGCACAAGATTTCTAATGAGCTCAAATGAGGTGAAAAGCAACAGGGGGCTGGAGTAAGACAGAATCCCAAAGATAGACTCAAGTTTCTACTGGAGTGCTAGTGACTCATTGTGTGGTAGGTTCACAGCTTTTTGTTTAGTATTAAAAGCAAGCAACCAACAAATACATACAGAATAGAAAAGCTCCATGTATGGATCAATCATGTGGTATGGCTACCCCACATCTGAGCACCTATGGTCCAAACAAAAAAATTAACAGTGAATATCCAGGAAACAGCAACAAGAACACTGCCTGAGATAACTCATGGGTACAGCTAAGGCAGCGCACAGAAGAAACTTCACAGCCTTGGTTTATCTCATTAAGTAGGAACAAATGAAAATAATTCAATTGAAAATTACACAAAGAACAATATATTAAACATGAGAAAAGCAGAAGGAAAGAATTAGTAAGGATAAAAGCAGAAGTAAATTAATTATAAAATAAGAGACAGAGGAATTAGTACATTCAAAAGCAGATCCTTTGGGGGAAAAAAACCCAAAATCTTATTTTCTTAAAAAAACAAAAAATTGAAAAACCCTAAATCTTTGTGGTTTTTTTGAAAAAAATAAAACTAGGCAGAGTAATAAAGAAAAAAAATTGGTGAAATCACAGATACACAAAAGTAGAAATGAAAATGCAGACACAATCACAAAGAAAAACAAACCATAAAAGATGAAGTCAACACTGAAAATAAACCTGAAAACCTGTGTGAAATGAATACTTTGCTGTGTAAGTATAATTTATAGAGTTAGAAAATATAATGAGACTAATTATCAGAGAATAAATTGGGAAAATGTCAAAGAGCTATTACTCCACTCTCCAGAGTACCAAATCCAGAAGCTTCATAGGAAATATTTTAACTTTGTAACATTAATCATTTTGTTCCTGTATTATTACTTATTTTTAAATTAAACTTTTTGAGATAATAGTGGGCTTGCCTGCAGTTGTAAAAATATAATACAGAAAGATTCCTTATATGCTTTACCCAGTTTCCCACCATAGTAACATCTTGCAAAATCTAGTATAATATCACAATCAGGATATTAACAGTGCTACAATCAAGATACAATCAAAATGACATAGAGCATTTTCATCACTATAGAGATCCTTCATGCTGCCATTTTACAGAAAAACCTACTCTCCTTTGCCCCTATTCCCACATTAACCCCTGAAACCACTAATTTGTTCCCCATTTCTATAATTCCGTTATCTTAATAGTGTTACATAAATGGAATCATGCAGTATGTAACCATTTGGGATTGTCTTTTCTCACTCAGTGCAGTTCCCTGGAGATTCATCCATGTTGTTGCATGTATCAATAATCCATGGCTTTATTATATTACCAAGTGTGTATCAAACTTCATTTAACCCATTAAGGAATATATGAGTTGTGTCTAGTTTTTGGCTATTATGAATAAAGCTGCTAAGAACATTTATGTACAGGTTTTTGTGTAAAAATGTTTTCATTTCTCTGGAATAAATGCCCAAGAGAGCAATTTCTAGGTATTATGATAGTTGGACATTTAATTTTTTGAGAAATTGTCAAGCTGTTTTCCATTTTTCACTCCCACCAGCAATGTAGGAGTGATCTAGTTTCTCTGCAGCCTCGTCAGTATTTGGTGTTTCACTATTTTTATTTTAGCCTTCTGATAGGTGTGTAGTGATAGCTCATTTTGGTTTTAACATGCATTTCCCTAATGGCTAATGACATTGAAACTCTTTCCATGGGCTTATTTGCAATTTACACATACTTTTCAATGAAATGTATGTTCATGTCTTTCAATAAATGTTCATCAATTAAGTAGAGAGAAAACAATATGTCTCTTCATTTAATTAAGCCTTCTTTAACTTAACTACTTTTAGTAGCACATTGTAATTTTGAGCATACACATCCTGTACATGTTTTATTAAGTTTACACCTAAGTATTTCATTTTTTGGAAGTAATTATAAATAGTATTGTGTTTTAAATTTTGGTTTTCAGATGTCCATTGCTAGTAGGCAAAAAAGTGACTGATTTTGTTTGTTCATTTTGTAGCCTGGGATCTTTTGAACTCACTTGTTATCTCTAGTAGGTTTTGGTGTTTTGTCTTTTATTTCTGTTTTGTTTTTCCTTTTTTACATTTCTCAGGATTTTCTATGTAAATTATCATATATCTGCACTTAGGGAGAGTTTTCTTTCTGTCTTTTATTTCTTTTTCCTGCTTTATTGCAATGAGTAGGACTTCCAGTAATATGTTGAATAAGAGTGGTGAGAGCATATATTAATTACTTCTCCCTTTCTCTTAATATTAGAGGGAAATCATTTAAGCCTTCACTGTTAAGTATGATTTTAGCTATAGGTTTTTTGTAGATGCTCTTTATCAAGTTGAGAAAATTGTCCTTTCTTTCTGCTTTACTTCTCCACCCCCGAGTTTTTAATTTGTCATGAATGAATGTTAGATTTTTATAAACTACTTCGTGTAAATTGATATGATCATCTGATTTTATTATTCAGCTTGTTTTTATGATGGCTTACACTGAGTGATCTATAAGTATTGAACCAGCCTTACACACCTAAAATAAACCCCACTTGGTTATGGTATTCACTTCTATATATACTTTTTAAGATTTCATTTGCTAACTTTTTTTTTTTTTTTTGAGATGGAGTCTCGTTCTGTTGCCCACGCTGAAGTGCAAGTGGCATGATCTTGGCTCACTATAACCTCAGCCTCCTGGGTTCAAGCAATTCTTGTGCCACAGCCTCCCAAGAAGCTGGGATTACAGGCACGCACCACCATGCCTGGTTAATTTTTGTATTTTTAGTAGAGACAGGGTTTCATCATGTTGGCCAGTCTGGTCTTGAACTCCTGGTCTCAAGTGATCTGCCAGCCTCTGCTTCCCAAAGTGCTGGGATTACAGGCATGAGTCACTGCACCAGCCTGATTTGTTTACATTTTGTCACAAATTTTGGGGTCTAAGTTCATGAGAGATAGTGGTCTGTACTTTTTAATGTGCTCTCTTTGTCTGGGTAATATATTAGTCTGACACAATGGAAAGTGTTCTCTCCTCTTCTATTTAACTATTTGGTAGAATTCACCAGTGAAGGCATCTGGACCTGGATATATATTTTAGGAGATTTTAGGTTATATATTTAATTTTTTATTTTATTGTTTTTTATTTTATTTTATTTTATTTTATTTTATTTTATTTTATTTTATTTTATTTTGAGATAGAGTCTCGCTCTGTTGCCCAGGCTGGAGTGCAGTGGCACAATCTCAGCTCACTGCAATCTCCGCCTCCTGGACTCAAGTGCTTCTCCTGCCTCAGCCTCCTGAGTAGTTTGCATTACAGGCCCCCGCCACCAGGGTTGGCTAATTTTTGTATTTTTAGTAGAGACAGGGTTTCATTATGTTGGCCAGGCTGGTCTCAAACTCTCAAACTCCTGACCTCAAGTGATCTGCCTGCCTCGGCCTCCCAAAGTGCTGGGATTACAGGTGTGAGCCACCACACCAGCCATATTTAATTTTTCAAATGGTTGTAGGACTATTTGTATTATTTCTTTCTTCTTGGTTCAGTGTGTCAATTTGTAGTTTCAGAGGAATCAGTTCATTCATTCTAAGTGGACAAATTTATCAGTGTGAATTTATATGTCCTTATCATTTTAATGTCTGCAGTATTTGTGGTGATAGCCCGTTTTTTTCTATATTGGCGATTTATGGCTTCTTTATCAGTATGGCTAAAGGTTTATCAATTTTATTATTTTTTTATTGATTTCTTTCTATTGTTTTTATATTTTCAATTTCATTAATTTCTGTTCTGATTGTTATTATTTCCTTTCTTCTGCTTGCTTTCAGTTAGTTTATATTTCTACCTTATTCTCATTTCTTGAAGTAGGAACTTAGATTATTTACTTGAGATCCTTTCTTTTGTATAATTTAAGCATTTTGTCATATAAAATTTCCCTCTCAGCCCTGCTTTAGCTGCATCCCATAGGCTTTGATATTCTTTGTTTTCATTTTCATTCCATTCCATGTATTTTTTAAACTTCTTTTGAGACTTCCTCTTTGACTCATGGGTTATTTAGAAGTATGTGGTTTAACTTCCAACTGTTTAAAGACTTTAAAAATTATCCTTCTCTTACTGATTTCTCATTAGAGTCCATTATAATCAGAGATCATATTGTATAATTCTAATTATTTTAAATTTGTTGAGGTTTGTTTTATGTCCTAGGATATGGTCTATCAGTGAATATGCCATGGGCATTTGAAATAAATGTTTATTTTTCTGTTGTTGGGTAGAGTATTTTATATATGTCAATAAAATCCTGTTGCTTGTGCTGAGTGTTTTTATATCATTGCTGATTTTCTGTGTAGTAGTTCTATCAATTGCTGAGATTGGGATGTTGAAGTCCCCAACTATAATTGTGGATTTATCTATTTCTCGTTTAAGCTCTATCGGTTTTTGTCTCTGTATTTTGAAGCTCTCTTGTTTGGTGCATACACTTTTACAACTGTTATGTCTTCCTGATAGATTGGTCATTTTGTCATTATTTAATTGTCCCTCTGTCTGTAATACATTTCCTTGCTTTCAAGTTAATTTTCTGATATTAGTAGAGCCAGTCCTGCCTTTCAGTGAATTTTTTATGGTATAAATTTTCAACCCTTTTACTTGCATCGTACCTATGTTTTTGTATTTGCAACAAATTTCTTGTAGGCAAGAACTCTTTGCTCATTTTCTAAATCTACTCTGCCAATTTCAATCTCTTTCTTTTATCTGGTCTATTTAGACCATTTACATTTAGGGTAACCGTAGATACATTAGAACTTAAGTCTGCTATTTTATTAATTTGTTTTCTGTCCATTTCCTATGCTTCTCGTTTCTCGCTTTTACTTTCTCACCTTCTTGTGGGTTAGTTAAATATTTTTTAGAATTCCATCTTGATTTGTTTTAGTGATTTTTAGCATATGGCTTTGTATAATTGTTTTAATGGTTGCTCTAGGTATTTCAATATACATGCATGGTTTATCACTGTCTACTAATATTGACATTTTACTACACGAGTTAAGTTTAGAAATCTTACTTACATTTGGGTCTATTTACCATTCCTACTATTTTTGTAAGCATTTTCTCTACATACATGGAGCACCACATTAGATGGTGGTATAATTTTTGCTTCTACCATCAAATATTATTTAAGAAACTCATGAGAAGGAGGATCCTCTGTTATCTTTACTCATTACATTGTTTGTTTTTCTTTTCTGAAGTTCCAATACTTGTTCTGTTATCACTTCCTATTTAGAGCAATTTCTTAAACCATTCTTAAGGTAAGTGTGCTGACAAAAGTTCTCTTACTTTTCCCTCATTTGAGAATTTTATTATTTCCCCCTTAATTCCTGAAGAATATTTTCTTTGCCTATATAATTTGCAGTTGACAATTATTTTCTTACAGTACTCGAAAAATGTTGCAATACTTCCTCCTTGCCTCCGTGATTTCTGATGAGACATTCTCTGTTGTTTAAATTGGTGTTTTCCTAGAGATAATGTGTTGCTTCTGGATACCTTCAAGATTTTTTTTTATCTTTAGTTTTCACAAGTTTAATTATGATGTGTCTGTCATGAATTTCTTTGGCTTTATCCTATTTGGGATTCACTCTGCTTCTTGAATCTCTAGGTTTATATCTTTTGCCAAATTTAGGAAGTTTTTAGTTTTTACTTTTTCAGTGTTGTTGGGGACCAGTCTCTGCCTCCTCTTTCTGGAGCTCCAATTATACACATGTTAGTTCTTCTGTTATTGTTGCCCAGATCCTGAGACTCTGTTAATTTGTTCAGTCTACTTTCTCTCTGTTGACCAGGTTGGGTTGGGTAAATTCTATTGATGTTTCTTCAAGTTCTCTAATTCTATCTTATGTCATTTCTGCTCTACTGTTGCATCCATCCAGCTGGTATTTTTATGTGTTATTGTATTTTTCCTTTCTATAATTTTCATTTAGTTCTTCTTTTATAAGTTCTATTTCTCTGCCGAGAGTTTCAATTTTTTTTTATTTGCTTTAAGGGAATTCAAAATTGCTCATTGAAGCATCTTTATGATGGCTGCTTTAAAGTCCTTGGCAGATAATTCTAACATCTGATTCATCTCAGTGTTGACTGTCTATTCTTATGCATGGTATGGTTTTCCTGGTTCTTGGTATATGAATAATTTTTTACTGTATGCTGGACATTTTGGACATTATGTTATAAAACTCTTTATCTCATTTAATTTTTTTCATCATTCTTCAGGAATTAAGGAGGAAATAATAAAACTCCCTTTAAGGTGTAACAGAGGGCTGTGTGGGTGTTACATTCAGTTTCCTGTGGGACTTTGATGCCACAAGGAGGGCCAAAGCATAGGGCTGACTCACACTCTTTTATTGCTGCAGGCTGTGGGAGGAAGCTCAGCTACCCGTAGGGTCCTGCTGACACCATGATAGCAGGGAAGGGAAAGGAAGCAGCTGAAGTGCCATCTAGCCCTGCCCACCCGAAGTCATTCCCTCTCATGATGCTAAGTGGGGCTGGAGGCTCAGCACCTCTCCAGGACGTACTACGCCGGGATAGCAGAAAAGCGGGGTGTTGACTATTTCCCCTTGTACCACCTCATACCCCCTTGTTGTGGGTGGAGGGTCGGCTCCCCACTGGAACCTACTGATGCTATCCTGGTCAAGAGCTAGAGCACTGACTGCTTCCACTGGCCAGATAATTGATGATTGGCTTCCTACTCAGCCCAGCTAGCACTAGCCTGGCAGGAAGCGGGAGCACTGCCTAGTTCCACTGGGGGAAATGGAAGGTTACCTCTCCACTTGGCATCTCCCTGAAGGATTAATCAAAGCACTGTCTGCTTCAGTGAAGTGGAGGAGGACATAAGAAGGAGGGTGCAGGCTCAATTTCTGGCTCAGTCCTGCTAAAACCCAGGGTTTGGGTGGGCATGATGTTTCCACTCGCATTCAGCTGGAGTAAGGCAGGTATTGCCAACAAAGTTTTCTGTTGTTTGGTCACTCCTGTCCTGGTCCTTTTCCCAGGGTAATAGGTTTTCTTGGAGCTTTTTATCTGTGCCTGTTGGGGGTTCTGGATTGGAGGCTTCTGCAGCACCCTGGCTGGGATACATGGGAGGCTACAAGGAAACCTGAGGAACTCTGCCAGGCTGCTCCTCAGGTGCTAAGGACCCTTCCTCTTCCCACCTGTCCAGGTCTTCCTGTGCTTGTTTGTTGTGTTCATGGCAGTTGTTCTTTAGCTGTAAGAAGGACAACCTGGGAGGAATGGGGCTACTCCATCTTAGCAGAACCGAAACTTGGAATATTTTAAATGTATGCTTCTTTTTGAAAGTGTAATATACTCATGGAAAAAAAGGTACAGATTGTCAATGTCTGCTTGATGATTTTTCACACACTGAACACATCTGTATACCTAGCACCTGGTTCCAAACCCATCATGACTGGCAGCCCCATGAGTTCATCTTGTGCCCCTTTTAACCACTACAGTCCTCTCCTCAAGAGTGACCCCTCTTTTGATTTCTCACACAATAGATTAGTTTTGCCTGAGAGAACTCACCCTTCTTCCAATGATCAATAAAGTAGTGACTGATTTTTTTACTCCAATCCAGGGTGAAGGCAGGATTTCAGCTCTCTTGTGGTTTGGTCTGCCTCTAATTTACCCTTATTTCTTGGGAATAGTTCTCCAGGTGAGAGTGCTTCTCCCCCACCAACTCTCTTGACAGCAAATATGGGGTGTCTTTCCCAACCATCAACTGTCTGATTCGCTGACACCAGCTGGATGTCCAACAATTCAATTCATTTCTGACACAAACTACTCAGGGTTAGTGAAGACCCCAGGGGTTAAGGACTCAGTCCCACAAGACTGCCCCCACTGCAAACACCAGTTGCAAGTCCTGGGTCTCCTGTACTTCTGACTGACCAGTTATATATTCAGAGATTCCCACAACATCCCTGGTCCCAGTGCAATAATTCACTAGAATGACTTACAGTATTCAGGAAAACCCTTTACTTATGTATTCCAGTTTATTATAAATGGTGTAACTCAGAAACAGCCAAATGAGAAGACATACATAGGGCAAAGTATGAAGATAGACAGTGACACGGAGCTTCCAGGCCTTCTCCAAGTAAGCAACCTTCCCAGCACCTCCATGTGTTCACCAATTCAGAAGCTCTCCAGCCCTGTCAATTCAGGGGTTTCTGTAAAGATTCCATTACAGAGGCATGATTGATGACATCATTGACCATTGGTAATTGGGCCCTATCTGTCCCTCCTTCCTTCTCCTGGAAGGTCTGAAAGTTTCAACTCTCAAATCATGCCTTGGACTTTCTGGTGACCAGCGCCCATCCTGAAGCTCAGAATGTATTCATTAATTTATTTATATCCATATGAACTCCTGGATATCTATGTTGTTCTAACTTGCAATTTGTAACTGTCATTATGTATCTTGTTCTTGACCTGGCCTTTGGCTTCTGTGTCCTTTAGAAAGGCCTCCTTCATTCTTTGAATCC
Source organism: Homo sapiens (assembly GCF_000001405.40). Lineage (NCBI taxonomy): Eukaryota > Metazoa > Chordata > Mammalia > Primates > Hominidae > Homo > Homo sapiens. The sequence goes on along the minus strand of NC_000010.11, from coordinate 78,489,875 downwards.
TTTCTTATTTTCTGGCACAACAAGATGCTTCAGCCCTGGAATCAGCCATTGCTCCCAGGCCCCTTTAATGGAGAAGGGGATGGTGGGCAGAATAATAGCCTCCAAAGATGTCCACATCCTAGTCATCAGAACCTGTGAATATGTTATCTTACATGGCAAAGGGGCTTTGCAGATGTTATTAAGAGGAATTTATCTTGAAATGTGCAGTTTATTCTGGATTACCCAGGTGGGCTCAGTGTAACCAGAAGAGCCCTTATCAGTGAAAGAAGGAGCCTGGAAAATCAATCAGAGATGTGAGGAAGAAAGCAGACATCACAGTGAGGCCTCTGTGGGCAGTGAAGATGGAAGGGACCACAAGCCAAGGAATGTGGTGGCCTCTAGAAGCTGAAATAAGGAAAGAAAATGGATTCACGGCTGGAACCTCCAGGTTGAACTGATGTTCCCTACTCTGCCAATATCTTGATTTTTAACCCTGTGGGGCCCATTTTGGATTTTTAACCTCCATAACTGTGAGATAATAAATTAGTTGTTTCAATTCACTTAGTGTGTGGTGATTTGTTACAGCAACAACAGGAAACAATTAGGTTGGTGCATAATACAGATGCTATGTAGAAGCCAAAAACTGCTGCTAGGTGTGCTCTTTGCCACTGGGGTGTCACCACCCCCAGGCTCTTTCAGTGATCAGAGCTAGAATATACTCACTTCACATACATGCACATATACACATTTACATTTATACATTTATACTTAACCATGAGTTCACAACAAAACCTTCTGTTCCTATCCAGTACCACAGAATCCATTCGGTTTTCTCCTTTTCTATAGTTGCAATTCTCTTCTCCCACAGCCAGAAACATGAGATTTACTTATCTGATCTATACGTAACCAATCTCTCGTTCTGGCCACAAGCTTCTCCCTGCATGGACATGCTCCTCTCCTGGCCTGTGCTCTGCTTCCCCATGGCAGGCCATCCCCTTGCACAGACGCCCTCCTCACTTTTTTTAAGCTAGACAATATGATTCTACAATATATATATGGAAAATAAACTTACAAGAAACTTTGCAACACAAAAATTATGAAAATAGGAGTGCTAAGAAGGAGTGAATCCAATTATCCCATAAATCTAGAATGACTATTACATATTGGCATATTAACAAGATGCAAATCAATGGGAAAAAAGTTCTAACTTTTTAAACGGCTTCCAAATAATTTAGTATATTTAGTGTATGACAAATGTGATATCCTAAATTAATGGGAAAATATGGGTGATTCAATAAATAATGTTGGGACAATTGACTAAGTACAGGGGAAAAAATTAAGCTCTTAAGTCCCTATGTTACTTCTTAAAGTAAATTCCAGGTAGATTAAATGAAACTAAAAAATAAAGCCATGAAAGTTATACGATAAAAATAAATTATCTAGATATATTTGGCTGGTGCAAAACTAATTGCTGGTTTTGCCATCAAGTTATTGCAAAAATCACAATTAGATACAGCACACAAAGATAGAGATAAACATATATCTAGCTAGCTTTAAATTTATGGAACATATGAAAAAGAATTAACATTCTTAATAAATAAGGTATACTGGAAAATTAATAAGAAAAAGACCAACTACGGTAATATGAATGGCTTTTGACAATATGAAAAAATTATGCAAAGCCATTTCTAATTAAGTAAATAAAAATCGAAATAATGAATAAAATATTTCATTAATTAACAGCAAAAATTAAAAAGTTTGATAATACCTAATGTTGGCAAGGGTGACAGTATAAGTTGGTACAAGGGTAATTTGTCAGTTTCTTTTCAAGTAAATATATAAATATCTATCACCTTGGCAATGCTACTTTTAGCAATGTAACCTGCTGATATACATCACCAGTGCAAAGACGAATATCAAGAATGTTCATTGCAACATTGTTTATAAGTAAAAAGAACACTGTAAACAATCCAAATATCCAGCAAAATCTGACTAGTGAATACATTGTAATATATTGTAATATGACCATGAAATCTGACACTATGTACACAATTATGTTTTATAATGGTATAGGTCCGTGCCTCAATCCTAGCATGTCTTCAAAAGGCACAAGAAAATATTTGGCACCTGGCAAAAAGTTTCCTAAATATAAAAAGAAAACGTAAACTCTAAAATTAAAGAAGATTCAATTGTCTATGAAATGTAATGTGTCAACAAATAAAGTACAACTCAACTTTGTGGTAAAATTTAAGGAATAAAATGAATTCTTGATCTATTTATTGATTTCTTATTCTTTAGGGCAGAGGCTGGAGTTGATCATACTTGACCATTTCTGGGAGACTCTCCCATTCTGCCTTCTCTTGTTTTGTTTATTCTTCCCCATGCGTGTTTCTCACTCCCTTTCCCCCTCCCATGGTAGGAACACGTCTAATGTGTCTGATGTATCACTCTTCTTTATGTAGTAAATTTTGTGATTGTATGTGCTTTAAATTTGCATAAAAGTTAGCATATTACATATCTCATTCTATAATTTTTATTCACTCAACATGATTTTGTATGGGATCATGTTTCTCCATGTGCATTTTTTTTTCTTGCTTCTAACTGCTGCATAGCATTTTCTAATAAGTTTACTCAAGGCCCCAGCATAGACCCCTAAATAGCCTCTATCCCTCTACTCCCACAAACATGATTCAGTGAATGGCTTCTAGGATTGACAGGAAGGTGAGAGTAGATTCTGGATCATGGAGTATCTGATCATCGAATTTTCATATGTACAAACAGACCATCTACAGTTCCCGGAACAGTGGATAAGAATTTCCAGTTTTCTACATTTTGGGTCAAATCTGATGTTCACCAACTTTTGATTTTTTGGCCAGCTAATGTGAATGAAGTCACACCTTGGTCAAACGTGTATTGCTCTATTGCAGAGTGATCTACAATTTTTTGTCCCCTGGGTCTCTCCCTTTGTGCACTGCCTACTCACAGTCTTTGGCCATTTTTTCCTCTTGTATTTCCTATCTTTTTCTCACTCATAGGCAAAAATTTTCTTGTACAGTCTTGCTATTCATTACTTCTCAGGTTTTGTTAATTTTGTCTATGGTGACCTTTATTGAATAGAAATCCTTGATTTTGATCTGATCAGATCCATGGATTATTTTTCCCTTGGGGCTTGTGCTTTTTCAGTCTTGTTCAGAACATCTTCCTCTTCCTCAAAAGACACAAAGATATTTGCCTGTCTCTTCATCCACATATATTTATATTTTATCTTTTGCATTTAAGTTTTTAATTCATTTTGATCTCACCTTTGTTCATGCTGTGAGACAGATCCAATTTTGTTTTTATTGACATAATAATTTTTCCCACAGTCTTCCAGTAAACAAAAATCTGCCCTCTGATTTGTAAACACCTTTACCATGTATAATTTCATATACATGGGTCTATCTCTGAGCCCTCTGTTCTGTTCACTCCTCTGTTCTACAATATGTCACTACATTTTTGCTTCCTATTACCGTAGCATTGTAATGTACCTATTACACAGGAGGATAAATTCTACCTCTTTGTTTTTAGTGTTCAGAATTGCTCAAAACTTAGTTCTTTGTATAATGACACTCTTTCACATAAATTTTAGAGTAATATTACCAACTTTCTCAAAAATTTGTGATGAGTATTTTTTATTTGGAATTGCACTGAATGCATAGATTTATTTGAGGAGCATTGACATAGCTATAAAGCTGTTCAATCCACGAATATGGCTCACATACAGAATTGTGTATGTTCACTTGTACACTCCACTAGGGTTTTAAACTTTTTCTCCATAAAGTCATCCTGCAATATTTTTAGGCCAAATTTTAGACATTTTATAGTTTTCATGGCTATTGTGAAAATTATGATATCTTCTATCATTTTATCTCATTGTTTGTTGCTGGTGTTGAAGAAGAATGTTATTTGTTTTAGTAAGTTGTGCTATTTATTTTGGTAAGCACATTCATAGATTATTTCTGAAAGTACATCCAAGAAGTTTATGAGAATTGTTGCCTCTAGGGAGGAGGACTTGGGGACCAGGTGTAAAGCAGAAACCTACTTTTGATCACATACTTTTTAGGACTATTTGAATTACTCTTTCAATAAAAACTAAAATAGATATTATGAACATATTAGTATAAATACAGTTGACCCTTGGACAACACGGGGTTGAACTGTGCAGGTTCACTTATACATGGATTTTCTCTCATCTCTACTACCCCTGAGACAGGAAGACCAACCCCTCCTCTTTACTACTCATTAAGTGGAAGTGGATCATCATGAAGGTCTTTATCGTCATCGTCTTCATGTTGAATAGGCTAATATATTTTCCCTTGCTTATGATTTTCTTTTTCTTTTCTTTTTTTTTGAGATGGAGTCCTGCTCTGTCTCCCAGGCTGGAGTGCAGTGGTGTGATCTCGGCTCACTGCAATCTCCGCCTCCCAGATTCAAGCCATTCTCCTGTCTCAGCGTCCCAATTTGCTGGGACTACAGAAGTACGCCACCAGGCCTGGCTAATTTTTTTGTATTTTTTTTTTTTCAGTAGAGATGGGGTTTCACCATATGGGACAGGCTGGTCTCGAACTCCTGATCTCGGGTGATCCACCTGCCTCAGTCTCCCAAGGTGCTGGGATTACAGATGTAAGCCACCGCACCTGTCCATGGTTTTCTTAATAACATTTTCTTTTTTAAAGTTTACTTTATTGTAAGAATACAGTCTATAATACAAATAAAATGCAAAATATGTGCTAATCAACTGTTTATGTTATTGGTAAGACTTCTGGTTGACAGTAGACTATTAGGAGTTAAGTAGTGTGGGAGTAAAAATTATATGCACATTTTTTACTGCACAGGGGGTTGGCACCCCCCCCACACACACACACAGAGACACACAGATAAACTATATATAGAAAGAGAGCAAAAGAGGGAGGGAAAGAGAGAGAAAAGATCAGAACGGGCAAAGATGAAAGCCTGCATATGCCACGCATGTTTCCCCCATGATGGAAAACGCCTCAACAGCTACACTTAATAATGCATAGAGGCCGGGGGCGGTGGCTCACGCCTGTAATCCCAGCACTTTGGGAGGCCAAGCGGGTGGATCATGAGGTCAGGAGATCGAGACCATCCTGGCTAACACGGTGAAACCCCGTCTCTACTAAAAATACAAAAAAATTAGCCAGGTGTGGTGGCGGGCACCTGTAGTCCCAGCTACTTGGGAGGTTGAGGCAGGAGAATGGCGTGAACCCAGGAGGCAGAGCTTGCCATGAGCTGAGATCGCACCTCTGCACTCCAGCCTGGGCAACAGAACGAGACTCCGTCTCAAAAAATAATAATAATACATAGTAATGGCCAGCAGCCACTGTCTACTGTGTTGTCATTTGCTCGAATTCAGGAATCCTGCATCTTAGTCTAACTTGAGCAATTCCTCCTGTTACCTTCTTCATTTTTACAAATATTCCTATACCTGGCAAAACAATGGAGCAATAAATATATGTGAATTGGAATTACTCTCAAATCCTTTGAGTCTTGGCAATCACCAAAGCATTTTTTGCATATTTTCTTTCTCTAATTGTCTGCATGTGACAGAAAAAGGGGTTTATAAAGCTTCTAACACACATGCACTTGAGGCTTATTCACCCTTCTTACCTGTTAAAGTCTCATACTGAGGAGTCCAGAATTCCAGCTAATATGTGCTGAGTTATATACATGGAGAGAATGTGACCTGAGGCAAGGTCAAAGGGTTGTGAAGTGCTCATGGTTCATCTATTCCTTGGAAATGAATGTTGAAATAGCACTCTTGTCTGCTCAACAAGGGGAGTGGGCAGCAAAACTGCATTTCAAAGAAGTCTTAGGGAGAACACCAATCGTGGTTGAGACAGTAGAGTTTACCAAAAACTCCATCTAATCCTCTACGTTTGACAGCTCCCTTGCAGTTAGGTAGTACCACATGACTACTTCTGGCCAAAGGACTCTGATACCAGTGGGTGTGACAGCTGTTCTGGACTAAGTGCTAGAATAGCCAGTGTGCGAGCCCCCTCCAGCTGTTTCCTCCCCTGCCATGGTCATGGAAAAGGCCACATGCTCCAGATGCTGCAGCTTCAGGATGGCAACATTGCTGTTAGCCTGAGTTCCAAAGTGATTACATGGAGCAGAGCCTCCCTACAACCCTCTATTGACCAGTGGCAGGAGTCAGGAATAAGCCTCTGCTGTGCTAACCAGCAGGTTCTTACCAGCACACCACAGTATAACCTAGCCAATTAACAAAACATGTCGACATTGTGAATTTCTGCGTGCAGCAAGGTGAAGGCAGAAGTGCCACAGCCAGACCTGTTCCTCTAGGCTTCAGCATCTCCTCCTTAGGCAACCCTAAGGCAGCTCTGGAGAACTTTAGAAATGTGCACAGTGCATCCCAAAAATCAGTAGACTCATCCCCAAGTATTTAGAAATTAAACAATTCAGTTGTAAATAATCCATGAGTCAATGAAGAATTCTCAAGAGAAATTTAAAGCACATTTTCAACTAAATAAAAATGAAAATACAACTTACCAAAATTTGTGGAATGCAGTGAAATCAGTGCTTAGAGGGAAATAAACGGCATTAAATGCATATATTAGAAAAGAAAAAAGATCTAAAATGAATAATCTAAGCTTCCGCCTTGTAAAACTAGAAAAAGAGCAAATTTAACCTAAAGTAAGCAGAAGAAATGACATAATAAATATTAGAGCAAGAATCAATAAAATTGAAGACAGAAAAGCAATAAAGAAAATCAACAAAACCAAAAGCTTTTTCTTTGAAAAAATCAGTAATATTAATAAACCTATAGCCAGGCTAACTGAGAATAAAAGACAGAAGACATGAATTACCAACATGAGAAATGAAAGAAGGTCTATCACTACTGATCCCATGGACATTAAAAGGATAGTAGGAACAATTTCAAAAACACCTCTATGCCCACAAATTTAATAACTTAGATGAAATCGGCAAATTGTTTAAAGACATAAATTACCAAAATGCACATAAAGAGAAACAGATAACCTGAAGAGCCCTCTATTTATTAAAGAAATTAAATCTTTCCAAATAAGTAAGCTCCAAGCCCAGAGGGTTTTACTGGTTAATTCTACCAAACACTTAATGAAGAAGTAATACCAATCGTCTACAATCTCTTCCTGAAAATAAAAGCAGATGGAACACTTCCTAACTCATTCTACAGGCTAGCATTACTCCAGTACCAAAACCAGATAAATACATTATAAGTAAAGAAAACTACAGACCAATATGTTTCACAAATATTATGTGTGGAAATCCACATAATATTAGCAAATCAGAGCCAACAATGTATAAAAAGAAGTACATGCCACAACCAAGTAATTCAAGTATGCAAGGCTGCTTCAGTATTTAAAAGATCACTCCATGTAATTTATTAACCATATCAACAGGCTAAAGAAGAACATTTACAGCATATTAATTGATACAAAAAGCATTTTACAAAATTTAACACCCATTCATGATTTGAAAAAAATTCCTAGCAAACTAGAAACTATAACTAGCAAACTAGAAATATTGGCAAAAATTTCTAAACTTCATAAAGAACATCTAAAAAAAACTTAATAACAAACATCATATTTAATAATGTACACGTTCTTCCTAAGATTTGGAACAAGATAAGAATGTTCTTTGTCAGCAGTCCTACTCAATATTGTACTGGTTTATTTATTTATTGTACTGATCCTATCTGGTTTAATAAGATAATAATCTTGTTTATTATTTATTTATTGTACTGGTCTATCTGGTTTAATAAGACAAGAAAAAGAAATGCGACAGAAGAAATTAAACTTCCTTTATTCACAGATGACATGATTGTCTATGTAGAATACCCCAAATGAGCTACAAAAAACTCCCAGAACAAATAAGTGAGTACAGTAAAGTCGCAGGACACAAAGTCAATATGCAAAACTCAATTGCTGTCTTATATACCAGCAATGAATATTGAAATTTGAAATTAATAAAACACAGTGATCTCAAGCATTCCTTTGCATCATCCAGGCTCAAGACTTCAAAATGTTATAGCCTAATTCTCCCCCATTGTATATGTTAAGTTATATGATTTGTTTGTGTCCCTGAAATCAGATGAGGTGGCCTGCTGTCCTTTGAGATCCAAATAAATTTGACAGAAATTTTTTCACACATACAGGGTCCCATGCATTTATCCTAATATCTCTAGGAATTCTGAAGGAAGGGTGTATTAATCATGACTCTCTGGTTTGCATACGAAACAAACTTTATTCAAACGTGGGCCAAATACTATGAGTACTGACAAAGGGCCTTTAGATTTAGCAAGATCATTGGTGACCTTAACAAAGTGGTTTCAGTTGAGTGGTGTGAACAAAAGGCTGAATGAAATCCTCCAGAGCTCTGTCCTTAGTCTCTTTTATTCTCAATCTACTCTCATTACCTTGAAAATCTCAGAGATGGGGTTGAGAAAGGGCCTTATCTTAGGGCTTTAAATTCCACCTATAGGTTGATGATTCCCAAATTCATATTTCCATCTGAACTTTTCTCCCTTAATTCCAGACCTCTATGCCAACTTCCTCCTTCACATTTCGTAACAGAAATCCTCACTGTCTCTACTGCTACTCCCATCCAACTCAGCTTCAAGGGTTGCTAGGACTATAGCAGTAGCCTCCTAATTGGTCCGTTTGCCACCTCTCTCACCTCCCTCACAATCTATTATCATCCTAGGATTCAGGAAGATCCTTGACAACTACAGAATCAGCTCCCTCCTCTGCTCAAAATGCAGCAGCAGTTCTTCAATTCACCCAGGAACAAGTCTTGGTGAAACTACACAAAGCCCTATACCACCTGCCCCCCACCTTTTGTCCTGCCCTGACCTCATCTATTACCTACCACATAATAGTTGCTCAGTAAATATTTCTTGGAAGAATTAATCAATGAATGGGCAGGCAAAAACAACAAATGCTCACCACTGGTGGCCGACATTTTTGTTAGTCATATCCGCATGGAAGATTTTGCTTCCCTTTAATTAGACTCGGTATGGATATTGCCACAGCCCCACCTAGAGAGAAATTAAACACCCTCCCTTGATACTTGATACACATCAGTGTGCACATGCACATGGGCACGTATGAGTGTATACACACCCACACACACACACACAAGCCCCCTTTGGTACAAAGCAGACATGACTGAAATTAAGAGGAAAAAAGTGTGTAGGATGTCAGGATATCAAACTAATGCAAAAAATAAAAAATAAAGCAATCATATATTAGATACTGCTTTTAAAAGAGTGCCTTGATCTTTTCAGGAAATATATTGCTTTGCCTCCTCTCACCTTTGTTTCTTCTCTCCTCTCTTCTCTGCCCAACACTCAAATATCTGATCATCCTTTTCCCGTGCACTAGTTTAGCTTATTTTTGTGTCTTCCTCTCTTTCCCACTCATGTTCTTAAGGTTTTACCTCCCTCAATCAAGCAATTTACCACCTTTTTTCTTAAACAAACATGGTTCTCTCCCTAAGATAAACTTTTGCCTCTGGTGTTAAGATGATAACTGTTCCTCTCATCTCACCACAATTTATCTCACGTTCTAAAATCCAAGTTCTAAAGCCAATGATTCTACATGTTATTTCCTAACAGCATGTGTTCTAAAATGAGCGTTTTGGGGATTCTGTCTTTACTTCCAAGTAGAACATCTGGGGTAGATGACTGAGTGTCCACAGTAGCCTTTCCCTTGCCTTGTGCAGCCTCAGGTGTCCAGGGAACTGCTTCACCTCTGAATTCTCTACAGTGTACAGGGGAGGGAGGAGCATGGGCTCTGGAGCCTGATGTCCTGGGTTTGAATTCTGGCTCCACTGTCTGCTATCTGTGTGATGTTGGGTGAGCTCCTTAACCTTGCTATACCACAGTTTCCTCATCTTCATCTTTAAAGAGGAGAAAGTAACAATGCCTACATCAGAGAACTGTCATGAGGACGCAATGAAATAACAAGCGCAAACACCCAGGAAAGTGCCTGGTACACAGTGAGTGCCCAGTAAATGGCAACCATGGTGACCAGTAGCACTTCCTTGGACAGGGTTGGGACAATAATAGACGCTCCCCACATTTGGCATTAAAGGACATCAGTTCCAGGTCCTCCCACTATACCACTGTGCTTTTCTCTTGTCCAGTATGATGTGTCACTGAAACGCTGTACCTTGTCACGTGGTGTAGGCTCCAGCACTGCTGTATGATCTTGGATAAGCTGCTTTTCTTCTTTGAGGTTGTTTCTCCATCTCTGAGATGAATATTTGGGGCTAGATTATCTCTAAGGTTCTAGCTTTGATCTTAGATATGTACAATCTAAAAGAAATTAAAAAATGACCTGTGTTACACTCTAAAGAAAATGCTTCCCCACCAGAGCCTTGTGGCCGACCGGATGGTTCTAGATACACAGATTTCATAGAACTTAGAAGACATCTCCTGGAAGAGTTGACACTAAATGCCATAGTAAACATTGTAGAGTGTGGTGTAGCCCCCTGCTTCTCAAACGCAATGGGCACACGAGTCACGTGGGGAATTTCTTCAAAATGCAGACTGTGATTCAGCAGATCTGGGGTGGGATCTGAGATTCTGCATTTCCAATGAACTTCCAGGTTTGTTGATATTATTTGTTGGTGAGCCACGCTCCGAGAAGCAAGCAGTTTAACACAGTGCTACTCCAGAACTCCAGAGAACACGTAAGACCAGAGCAGTAGGTAGCTTGGGAAAGGAGTCATTCCTGCACCTCTAAAGGCAAACTCATCTCCCTGCCCCATGGTGAGCTTTGCTTGCCCCTGAGCACCATAATCTACATCCAGTGGTGTGCAACCACCTGTGCCATTCATTAAAGTCCCCAGTCAAGGTCCCGGCCTTTCATAGATAGAGCATGCTGCTCTCTTATCTTTGGGGCAGCATTGTCCAATAAGACTTGCTGTGACGATGGAATTGTTGCATATCCTCACCTTCCAATATGGCAGCTACTAGCTACATGTGGCTATTGAGCACTTGAGATGCAGCTGGTAAGACAGAGGAACTGAATTTGTTCTCTTATTTCATTTTAGTTACTATAATGTGACCAGCCACACCTGGCTAGGGGCTACCATATCAGCAAGCAAGCTTCATATATTCCCAAAAGAATTGAAAGAAAAAAAAGAAAGCTTTAGGGGACACTTCTATATTGTGGTTTCTGGAAAGAAAATAGACTTTAAATCTTAAAGTCGGTTAGCAATGCTTCCAATTGCTATCTTAATGGCTTTTGGCAAATCACCAGTCTTGGCATTTTGCTCATTGGTAAAATAAGGAAGAGCACACCTAATTAGCAGGACAGACATAAGGATTTTATATCTTGTATAAAACTCCTGGCACCATGCACAATTCATAGTCGATGTCCCCCAAATAATACTTCTTATCATGTGTGTCTTCACCACAAAGGCTGTCCAGTCTCCCAGCCTAAGTCTGGAACCCTAGTATGAATCTTCTGTGGTCCTCTTGTGATACTGAGAGCTGTTCTGGCCCCACTTTCCAGAAAGATTCGGTGAGAGAAAACATACCCATTCCCTCCAAATTGTGGCTGTTGGTGGTGGCAGAAGTCAGAGAGGGGCAGCTGGCTACATAAGGTCACACAGCAGTCAGAAGCACGAATGCTAGTCTTCTGTGTCCCAGCTCATGTCTCTCTGTTACATTGATTTCTACTTAAAATTAAAACATTACTATTTATTAAGTCCTGATGCTATGCCAGGCACTGCCTGCAATCCTTCATCTAAGTTATTGCTGCCTTCACAATGGCCCTGAAGAATAGCTGTGATGAGGATCTCATTATTCCAGATGGAGAAACTGAGGCTTGGAGGAGAAAGTAATTTGGCTGAGGTCCCACAGCCATTTAGGGCTGAAATGAGGGCTGGAAGCCAAGTCCATCCAACCACACAGCCCGCCTTTCAGCATGGCTTCCTTTTCACCAGGTATTTGCTGTGTGTTCTTATCCGCAGCCTGGGCTCTCTCCTCCAGCACCACCATTCCTTGCTCTTCTCTTGCCCACCCCAATCCCACAGGCTTGCACACAGGGGCACACGCATGCATGCAAACAGCAGGCATCAAGACCCACCAGCCCTTATCTTGAATGACAAGGAAACATCCACGCAAGATTTGGGAGGCGTGTGACCCAGGCAGAGGGAAGAACAAGCACAGAGCCCAGGTAGGGGCATGCTGAGTGTCCCAGAACAGAGTGGCTGGAGCGTTGGGGGCCAGTGGAGGTGGGACACGCTAGAACATGGATGCAAGCCCCATGGGAAGCAATCTGGACATCCTTCCAAGTTCAACAGGAAGTCATTGAAGAGTTTAGCAGGGGATGACACAATCCAGTCCATGCGTTGAGAGCTCATACAGCCTGCTGGAGTGGAGACCCAGGCCCATGGAGGCAAGTGGGAATCTGTGCCGCCAGCTGGCTATGCGGTGACACCAGCACGAAGGGAAGAAAACCAAACGCGGATGCACTGGGGAAAAGGAACTGACAGAGGATGGTTGGGTTTGATATGAAGGAGAAGAGAAAGCAGACCACGGGGATCTCCCAGGGTGTCCGGAGTGAGCAACCGGGAGACTGTGTTGGCGTGTGCTGTGTGATCATCGTAGGGCTCTAATTCTGCCCTTATCACCGACCCCTGTGTGGCCCCCCTCAAGACTAAAGTATGTGCAGCGGTCTTCACAGCCCTGCTGGTCCTTTTATAGCCCTTGCTGTCATGAAGCCTGAGCCTGATCTGAACGTGCAAATGAGGCAGCTAGCTAATGACACCCTAATGAGAGCCGTCCACTGTGCTAGTGAGACTCCAATGAGTGTTCTAACACCTGCAGATCACAAGCTTGACTGTAGCTGCTCTATTAAACACAAACTGGGATCTCTGCTCAAGCTCCCACATAAGGGGCTTATCTGGACCTTGCAGCAAGGCTGGATTGGCAGGAAGAGGCTGTGCTGTAAGGGCCTTCTTGGGCTCCTGGACCACAGAGCCCTCCACAATTACCCTTGATCTGGGGCAGGGGCAGGGGCAGGAACTGGACATTTGTGGAAAACTCTGAGGCTCAGAGCCTATTTCAAGATCAGCAAGGTCCATGCAGCAAACAACACTGAAAGCTGAAAAGGGCATCCCCCTAAGCCCAGACATCTCTGTATGCTGGGGAATGTGGGACAGACACTCCAGGCCAGGGCACAACCTGGGCGATCACTGAGAGATGGGACAACACAGCATGTCTTTGGCCTTTGAAGCACAGGGCATTTGGATGGGGTCAGATGGGATAGTGTGACCGTTCTTCATATCTTCCAAAAGAAAACTGAGCAAGCATCGCAAGCTGTGTGGAAGAAAAGATTCCACAACCAGATCAAATTGACACAAGCTTCCAGTGCCACACAGTTGAGTTTGGCCTTCG